>NC_000006.12:17029696-17181212 GCF_000001405.40 Homo sapiens | reverse complement strand
TACAAAAAAAAATAAAGAGTAACATGTTAAAACACCATGGAGAGCCAGGCGCGGTGGCTCATGCCTGTAATCCCAGCACTTTGGGGGGCCAAGGAGGGTGGATCGTCTGAGGTCAGGAGTTTGAGACCATCCTGGCCAATATGGTGAAACCCCGTCTCTACTAAAAATACAAAAATTAGCCAGGCGTGGTGGCACATGCCTGTAATTCCAGCTACTTGAGAGGCTGAGGCAGGAGAATCACTTGAACCTGGGAGGCGGAGGTTGCAGTGGGCAGAGATCGCGCCACTGCACTCCAGCCTGGGCGACAAGAGTGAAACTCTGTCTCAAAAACAAACAAACAGAAAACAAAAACAAGCAAACAAACAAAAAACACCATGGGGATATAATGAGAACATCCAAACTGGGAAACTCTATATGGTACATCACCCTGTTTTCTTCATCAACAACAACAGAAATTCAATGAAATAAAATGATGAAAGAGGATCCTATAGATTATAAGAGACTTAGAGACATCATAACCAATTGGCATTGGTGAGCCTTATTTGGAACCTGATTCAAATAAACAATGTGTAAAAATGAAAATGCACACATTAATGCATTATGAAATAATTAGAAGTAGGAACACATACTAGATAGTTGATGATATTGTGGAATTCAGTTTTGAACGATGTTATAATAATGGTTATTTTTAAGAGTATTGTTAAGAGATACATACTAAAAATTTTATGGTTAAAATGTAAAGAGAAAATCATCCTAGAAATAAATAAATCACCACAAATATGAAAGAGGTATCATTTATTTCAGCAAAATTTTGTTCCCTCCTGAAACTGCCTTCGCAAAAATTATAACAGTGAGAAAAATGTAACCTAACTGACTCCATCTTGCATCTAGCCTCACAGTCTGGCTCTCTGCTCATTCCTGGGCATAGGCCAAGTTAACCATGGGAGGAATTTAGTTTATAGTTTAACTTTGAAGCAAGGAGGATAATAGTCCCTCCCTAATACTGACTCCCTCCTTGTTTAGGGACTGAAACTGCCTTTGTAAAACTAATGAAAGGCCATGAGATTAGGATTATGATAGAGGCCTAATTTCTGTTAAGATCTATGCATAGCTGAATGGTAACTAGTCATTGTTTACTGTTCAGCAGTTGTGTAGGGGTGGTCACAAGATTCATAACTTCCCTAATTGACCCTATAGATAACATTGCTCTTGTAGAACCTAAGATTGGTCTTTTCAGATGTTTTTCAGACTTTTGCATTCTGGTGACTGACTGACTACCTGGACTCATGACTCATGAGTCAACTGCTATTCCCGTGGCTTCCACCCAGAGGCTGACTCTGCCCAAGGACTGTTTTTCACACCCTATGATTGCATCCCCAACCAATCAGCGCTCACCATGCCGTAGCCCCCTGCCTACCAAACTATCCTTGTAAAACTCTAGCCTCCAAGATTTCAGGGAGGGTGGTTTGACTAATTACTCCCATCTAAACAAGTAGAAACTTGTTTAGCCTTGCGATAATTAAGCTCTTTCTCTACAGCAATGCCCGTGTCTCAGTGAATTGGTTTTGTCTGTGCAGTGGACAAGATGAACCCACCAGGTGACTATACTCCCCATCCCCACCACCACCCCACCCAGAAGCCAGAGTTTACTCTATTGATTCACAGATGAACAAGCTGAGTCCACTTAGGTGGATGGAGCTTCAACTACAAAAGCTGGGAGGAGGCTGGGTAGGGAATTGTTCCATGTTGTTTTAGTCATCACTTTGTGCTCACATCATGCCCTGTATGAGTCAGCTTGGTCAGCAATAACAAAATACCATAGGCTGCATGACTTAGCCAATAGAAACTAATTTCCACACTATTATGGGGGCTGAGAAGTCCAAGATCAAGGTGCCAGCAGATTCAGTCTCTTTTGAGGGCTCTTTTTGCTGGCTTGCAGATGGCTACCTTCTTGTGGTGCTCTCACATGGCAGAGGAGAGAGAGAGAGATCTTTTTCTTCCTCTTTTTATAAGGCCACAGTACTACCAAATTACAGCCCCACCCTGATGACATCATTTAACCTTAATTATCTCCTAAAAACCCTATCTCCAAATATAGTCACATTGAGGGTTAGGGCTTCAACATATGGATTTTGGACAAATGCAATTCAGTCCACAGCAGCCCCCATGCAGGACACTCCAGCTCAGTGCTGGGTCCAAGCCAGATCTCTGTGTCGATAGCCAAGTACCTGAGAGGTTCCAGCTACATGAATATTTGCTGGGCTTCATGACAGCCCATATGGCTTTGCACTGTCTGCCAGAGCTTGGCTGAATTAATTAGATCAAATCAAAGAAGAGAGCCTGATAGGATATTGCATTTTGCTAGTCCTTTCCATCACAAGACCAAATACTGAGTGCAATTAATCAGTCACATGACAGAAATGGGGAAGGTTGTTTTTGTGTGTGTGTCATTTAGTTTAGTTTAATTTTGTAAAAGCTTTTTCTATGAAGGCAGTGTACAAACATTTAACTCACCTGCTTTTAAAAGTGACAAAAATAAACATGGAAACAAATCTAATGAAAGAGCAGATTCTAGCAGGAATGCTTCAACATTAGGAGTGGTTGAAAGGCAGGGGGAGGAGGAAAGGGGCAAGAAAGACAAAACAAATAAAGAGAAAAGGAACAATAACAAAAGAGGAGGCACAGGGCCAGCCTGGAAGAAAAGGGAGGGAATTGCATGAGGAAGGAGATCCAGCGAGCTCCATGGAGAAAGAGCAGACACAAGATTCAAGAATAGAACCAACAATCCAGGGAGGCAGGCTGGGAGAGAATGGCTCCAGAGCCTCTGAGATGGGTGTTTCTTAAAATAAGCAACTCTTGTTTCTCTCCGAGAGCATAAAAGATAAAATCATCTTTCCTAATTGTTAGATTGGTTAAATATTGTTCCCACTTAGTTCTTCCTTAGCTCCGAATAATCAGGTAGTCTATTTTAAGTAGAAAAGCTACATGTCTTAAGTGAATGAATTAGTTTTGGACTTTTAGAACCATGTCAACCCAAATAGAGAACAAAATCAAATAAAGGACCCAAATGCCTTTATCCCTGCAGAGCGAGTGTTTTGATTTGTGAGGCAGACACGCTGGTTGCCCACCCCCATGCCCACTTCCCAACTATTCTTTCTGCTTGTTTGCTAATGGAGCGGTGGTTTTGATTGAATGACGATGTGCCTCACCAAAGAGGGGATAAATTACTATGGGCTTCACCAGTTTGGGCAATCCTGCTCTCCATTGGCAGTGACTGGACTAGGGGTGGGTAGTGAGTTGTAAGGGGAAACCTGCTCAGAGACTGATGGGAAAGATTTTCTTACTAATAACAGAGTTCGTTCCTGCTCTGGATGCTGTTGTGTGAGAGTGTGCTGCTGCAGCCAGATTGTGACCAGGAGTGGCAGTTCTGGAGAACCCCAGAGGTGCTGTCCTTGTGTCCTGGTGCTGCTGAACCATGGAACACATTCTGAAACTCCCTACCTCAAGACATCTTATAATGGAGGACAATGAAACGTCTTATGGCTCAAATCTCCACTGGCCTGGTATTCTGTTACTTGCAACTAAACATGCTTAACTGAGCACATTAAGTACAAACAGAACTAAAGGATGTTAGTAGGATTAGGTTCAACCATGATGTACAGAAATCCCAAAACAGCAGTGTGTCAAAGGAGATAGAAGTTTGTTTCTCTCTCATATGAGAGTCTGGAAGCAAATCCAGTTGATGTAGTCATCAAATGCTCATTCTAGCTTGTTAATCAGCAGCCCGTGGCCTCTTTCTCCAAGGTCACCTGTAGTCTATGTTGGTTGCTCCAGTTCTAGCCACCATCTTTTTTTTCATTCATCAAGAAGGAACAAAGGGAAGAAGGGGCACAGGCATGTGGCTTACGTCAACATGTCCAAGAAATAAAGGTCTTCAGGGATCAGACCCAGATATCTGGTGTATCTACAGGTTTCTGCATAAGGTATTGAAGGAGGTTCTCCCCACTTCAGAGGCACCCATGGTGTGTCCTTTTGGGAGTACTGACCAGAGGCAGTGTCTGCCTGGCAGGTTGGTACGTGGTGGGAGCCACAGCAAGAAGCTCAGTCCCCTCATTTCTCATGCAAGCAGGGTCAGTAGAGTGTGGATGTGAATAAGTGCTGGTGAAATACCCTAGGGTGGAGGCTTGATGTGGGAAAGGGGAGCAGGAGGCCCCAGAGGGAAGCGACTGCAGAATCACGATCATCAGTGTGGCTTCTTTATGCCTCCAGGTCAGCATGAACTGGGAAATGGAGGCCACGCAACTATGTGGTCTGAGTTATAATTGATAAAGACCAGGCCAGGCATGGTCGCTCATGCCTGTAATCCCAGCACTTTGGGAGGCTGAGGCGGGTGGATCAGTTGAGGTCAGGAGTTCAATACCAGCCTAGCCAAGATGTCAACACCCTTCTCTACTAAAAATACAAAAATTAGCCTGGTAGTGTGCACCTGTAATCCCAGCTACTGGGGAAGTTGAGGCATGAGAATCACTTGAACCCAGGAGGCAGAGGTTTCAGTGAGCTAATATCACACCACTGCACTCCAGCCTGGGCAAGACAGTGAGACCCTGTCTCAAAAAATGAATGATAAAGATGGAGGAATGAGGACAGGAACACAAAGAGGTAGTGAAAGACATGAGCACTGTCAACTTTCCAGCTGCTCTGAGCTCACCCTACTTCCAAAATTAACCCCAATTCTTAGAGGGGTCCTGACAAGGGCGTGGCTGAGGCTGAGATGGTTTCCCTGGTCACTAGAAGATAGCTAAGGAAGCAGAGGCCTAGGGCCAAACTCTCTGGACTGTTACAGTTCAACTCCCTGAGCAGATGAGACATAGCAGACAAAAACAGAGCCCGGTTTGAAGCTGGCCCTTTGGTTCCTTAGTTCTTTGGTCAAGTTACTTAACCTCACTCCACTTCAGAGGAGCACCTCTCTGTGGCAGAACGGGGTTTTCTTTTGCCCTCCCAATTCTTCTCCCCTCTCCTTGACCATCTTCAGTCTAGGTGCTGAATGGGTGCACAAGAAGACAGAGAAAAGACCAAAGCTTTGTTTGGATAACCGATTGAAGTTTTGCTGTGAACGGTGGTTATGTTAGCAAGAGGAGGTTTTTTCCTGTAGATGCTCCATGCTGGGGATGCTTCTTCTTGGACCCAATAAAGGCTTGGCAAGGCCTTCTCAGGACATACAGAACTGACACTCAGAACACTGAGGATCTCACGGTGCCCCTCCTGTCTACAAGGGGCAACCAACTCCCATGGGGGGAGAACATAGGGGAGAAAGGGCCAGAAGGATCCTGAGTGAGGGGGCCAGAGGATGAGACCAGAAAGAGAAGGATCACTCAGATGCATCTTAGCCGACAAGCTGAAAGGTTCTCAATCGGAAAAGAAATGTTTTGCATCATCTTCTTGCCATCTTTTTTCTTTTTTGGTAGTGGACTATTCTTGTACATTCTTGCATATGTTTGTGAATTTAACGAAGGGTTTGCATATCTCAGAGGGAACTGAATGAGCTAATGTATCCAAAGCACTAAGCACAGTGCCTGGCACATGGTGAGCAACCAACAAGTGTCAGTTACTGTATTTCTTTCTTTCTTTCTCTTTTTGAGGCAGATTCTCTCCCTGTCACCCAGGATGGAGTGCAGTAGCACGATCTCGATTCACTGCAGCTTCTGCCTCCTGGGTTCAAGCGATTCTCATGCCTCAGCCTCCTGAGTAGCTGGAATTACAAGCACATGACACCATGCCCAGCTAAGTTACTGTATCTGGAGTGGAAGAGATCATGGTTCTCATCTCAGTCCTGTGAACTACATGGCCTCAATGCTTATCTGGGACTTTGTTTCCTTACCTGTATACTGAGGACTTTGAGTGAGGGGATCTCTAAGGTCTGTTTTAGCTCTCATGGCTTTGTGTGATTGGGATGCAGGGCTAGGAAGATGGTGGGGGAATATATACAGCCAAGATGAGGAAAGCATTTTTGACATGATCTTGCCTGATGGGAATCAGTTGGGTGGGTTGGTGGCAGGAGCTCTCGGGGGAACTGAGTTCTTGCTCTGAAGTCCCTCTAAAGGCACCCAAATCCTAACCTGGAGAATCCCAGGGTGAATGTTTCTTCTTGTTCAGAAGGGAAGCTGTGTCTAGTCCTCAAATATTCCCCCCATATAGGACATTCTACCAACTGAGGATTTGTTTTTAAGGATCCTCTTTAAAAATGGAAATGTTTTGGGGAAATGGTGGTATCATCCTTTTTTTTTTTTTTTTTTTTTTTTGCCTCGGCCACCTGAGTAGGTGGGATTACCGGCATGCGCTACTACGCCCAGGTAATTTTTGTATTTTTAGTAGAGATGAGGTTTCACCATGTTGGCCAGGATGGTCTTGGTCTCCTGACCTCATGATCTGCCCGCCTTGGCCTCCCAAAGTGCTGGAATTACAGGCGTAAGCCACCCCGCTGGCGTTTTTTTTTTTTTTTTTTTTTTTTTTTTTTGAGATGGAGTTTTGCTCTTGTTGCCTAGGCTGGAGTGCAGTGGCAGATATCAGCTCACTGCAGCCTCCGCTTCCTGGGTTCAATCGATTCTCGTGCCTCAGCCTCCCGAGTAGCTGGGATTACAAGCACGTGTCACCACGCCTGGCTAATTTTGTATTTTCAGTAGAGCCGGGATTTCTCCACGTTGGTCAGGCTGGTCTCGGACTCCCGACCTCAGGTGATCCGCCTGCCTCAGCCTCCCAGAGTGCTGGGATTACAGATGTGAGCCACCGCACCCGGTCACTATCATCTTTTCTAATAAGAACTGGTTCAGGCTGGGCGCAGTGGCTCACGCCTGTAATCCCAGCACTTTGGAAGGCTGTGGTGGGTGGATCACCAGGTCAGGAGTTTGAGATCAGCCTGGCTAACATGGCGAAAACTAGTCTCTACTAAAACTACAAAAATTAGCCGGGTGTGGTGGCAGGCTCCTGTGATCCCAGCTGCTCGGGAGGCTGAGGCAGGAGAATCGCTTGAACCCGGGAGGCAGAGATTGTAGTGAGCCGAGATCGCACCATTGCACTCCAGCCTGGGCGACAGAGCGAGACTCTGTCTCAAAAAAACAAAAACAAAAACAGAAACAAAACAGACGTTTATTCTCTCACAGTTCTGGAGGCTAGAACTCCAAAATTAAGGTGTCAGCAGAGCCAAGCTCCCCATGAAGGCTTTAGAGAAGAATCCTTCTTTGCCTCTTCCTAGCTTCTGGTGGCCCCAGCACTCCGCAACTTGTGGCAGCCTCCCTCTGATCTCTGCCTTTCTCTTCGCATGGCTTCCTTCGCTGTCCATGTCTGTCTGTGTCTTCTTCTCTTGTAATAAGCACATCAGTCATTAGATTTACAGCCTACCCTAAATCCAGGATAATTTAATCTCGAGGTTCTAGCAAATGCATCTGCAAAGACCCTATTTCCAAACAAGGGCACTTCTGAGGCTCTGGTTGGACGTGAACGGGGGGTGGGACATGATTCAACCCACTATCAGGAGGACCTGGGAAGTGGTGCTGAATGGGGGATGGAACATGCCATCAAGTTAAAGGTTTTCTCTAGAACTGGTCTTCCTCCTCTTCTCTTGCCAGGTAGGGTGTGGCTCCTCCTTTCAGAATATCAGGCTTCAGGGGGCAGGACTGGCACCCGCAGATGTTGACCTAGGGAGCTAAGGTCACTTTCATTGCGTGGAGCTGGAACCAGCGAGCAGGCTCTCCTCCTGGCCCCCTCCCCTGCCCCTTCCCCTTCTCCCTTGCCTGCTTGCTTCCCCTGCAGAGGCACCTGATTCTAAGGAGCTTGTGAAGGCTTCATAGGAATTGGGCCATAGAATGTTTTGAATGTGACAGCCTGGTGTTTGAAGCTTCTGTCTAGGAAAAAAATTACTGGTGGGATTCACTCATGTAAATGGCATTCTTGAATTGTCTAAAAGTTATTGTGAATCACTGACATGACTTGTATGTGATTGGCTCATATACGACCTCTCTACTGAATACTATCTTGAAGATTCTATCTCGATATTCAAAGGCTCAGGTCTCACGGGCACATTAGTGCATCCCCTTTATGGGTAGCTCAGCAAGCCCAGGGGAAGGGTATGAGATTCTTATTAGCATCTGTCCTCAGCCAGGCAGTGTGCTCCTATGCAGATGTGCTGGGTGCTTTCCTTTTATGTAAATGTCTGATCCACAACAGGGCTATCCTCTGACTGCTTTCATCTCCCTCAGATCTTGCAGAGCCCTTTTAAGGTAGGGATCATTTGGCAGCTCTATCAAAGGATTTGGCCTCCTTATATCAAGAACGAAAAATCCTGACATAGCCCTGAAATTCCTTGAGACAAATAGTTCATATATTTTCAGTTCAATGGTGCATTAATCATGAGTTGCTTTTTTTTTCTTTGAATGTGATAAAAGATCAACTCAAATTAGCTTAAGCATATGAAGGGATTTAATAGGATACTGGATTTTCTTATATAATCAAAGGAGGGGTTGAACAAACAACCAGATACCAAGAAGGGTAAGGATGCGGCTCTATCAAGGAAAGACTTTAATGAGAGATGAACGTCATAAGGAAAAGCTTTGTTTTGCTTTTCTCCACCTGAGGACCCCATTGTCACTACAGACTGGCCCAGTTTTTACATCTTGCTGTTCCCACAGTCGAAACAGGACTGACTCACTCTCCCTCTGGTCCCAAGGTAAAATAAAATGCCAGGAAGGGGTGTGATTGGTTCAACCCAGTCAAGGAATTACACTTCTTGATCCAAACACCCTCACATATCAGGAGAAGTTGTTTCTTTTGAACATTTATCAAATTATGTTGAGATCTTTGAGTCTAAGTTATAACCTCTTTTGTCTAATGCAAATCTTGATGATTTTGCTATGTACATGTCTTTTTTTTTCTTTTTTCTTTCTTTTTCTTTTCTTTTTATTTTTTTTTGAGATGGAGTCTCACTCTGTCACCCAGGCTGGAGTGGAGTGGCACGATCTGGGCTCACTACAACCTCTGCCTCCCGTGTTCAAGTTATTTTCCCATCTCAGCCTCCTGAGTAGCTGGGACTACAGGTGTGCACCACCATGCCTGGCTAATTTTTGTATTTTTTGGTATAGACAGGATTTCACCATATTGGTGAAACTCCTGACCTCAAGTGATCCGCCTACCTCAGCTTCTCAAAATGCTGAGATTACAGGAGTGAATCACTGTGCACAGCCTATGTCTTTTTTGAGAAGATCGATGCTTTGAATGTGATGTTGGCTTCCTTTGATAGAACCATCTCAGCAAAAAAAGTCTTCTATTCCAAGTTTGTTAAAATGGGTCACATATTCTGCTTAAAATTCTGTGATAAGTGCTATTTGTAGAGCGTAGTTGGTGTTAGAGATAATCTATAGATTTAGTAAAAACTATAATATTGTGTCTAGCATGAAGAACTATTCTATTGTAAATATACCTTTTATTTGTTGAGGAGCTACAGCTAAGGTTTTAGGGAGGAAAGTTGATAAAAGTAGCTCTGGGCTATATCCTCATATTGTGAAAAATAAGAGTGAGCTGATAGAGTTTGGATGTTGTCCCCTCTAAATCTCATGTTGAATTGTTGTCCCCAGTATTGGAGGAGGAGCCTGGTGGGAGGTGTTTAGGTCATGGGGGAGGTTCCCTCATGGTTTGGTGCTGCTGTGCGTATGATAGTGAGTGAGTTCATGCCTGCTCCCTCTTCACCTTCCACCATGAGTAAAAGCTCCCTGAGGCCTCTCCAGAAGCTGAGCAGAGGCCATTGCCATGTTTGTATGGCCCAGAAAACCACGAACCAATTAAATCTCTTTCCTTTTCTTTCTTTCTTTCTTTTTTTTTTTTTTTTTGAGACAGAGTCTCGCTCTGTTGTCTAGGCTGGAGTGTGGTGGTGTGATCTTGGCTCACCGCAACCTCTGCCTCCTGGGTTCAAGTGATTCTCCTGCCTCAGCCTCCCAAGTAGCTGGGATTACAGGCACCCACCATCATGCTGGGTAATTTTTGTATTTTTAGTAGAGATGGGGTTTCACCGTGTTCACCAGGCTGGTCTCGAACTCCTGATCTCAGGTGATCCACCCACCTTGGCCTCCCAAAGTGTTGAGATTACAGGCGTGAGCCACCGCGCCCGGCCTAAACCTCTTTTCTTTATAAATTACCCAGTCTCGAGTGTTTCTTTATAGCAGTTCAAGAACGGTGTAACACATGAGCATCGAAGCCTGTGTCCTCCTTCAAGAACACAAATGTTGGTTGCAACAGAAAATCGGATCAAATTCTACCATCAAGTTTAGCTTTGTTGCACTTAATCATTATTTAATAGATCAAAATTATTTCCTTATCCTTCTCATTCTCCATTCCTGGTTCCCTAAGGGAGCTAACACTTCATTCAAGAATATTTATTTGCCTCCTTTGAAGGACAAAGACAAAAGCAGGTAAATTAAGCAGGAAACCTAGATCTCTTGCTGGGCTACAGGGCAGTGTGTGAGGCTTAGAGGCAGACAGGCCTGGATTCAAATGAGACTTGGCTACTTAATGTGAGATGCTGAATACAACACTCAACAATGTAAAATTTTAATTTTTTCATTTGCAAAATTGGGATGATAATATCACATGGAATTGTCTGAGTATTAAAGGAGATCAGCCATGTAAAGTGTTTGGCAGGGCATTACTTGCTGAGGGTCCTATTGAGGTCCAACTATAGTCTGACCTCATTCCCTTTTCTGGGTCATCCAAGTTTCTCTTCTTGGTTCCCTTCACTCCCTCAGCACAGGGAGAGACACCCCACACCCAGGTTAGCTACTAGAAGTAAGGCTAACGCCACTTAACCTGCAGCTTCCCTTCTCTCTGTTGTTCTTAGGGGAATAGGAAGTCCTTTTAGCTTGGCTGACCTCATGCAGGGAGAGCTATGAGACAGGGAGAGTCTACCTGTCTAATGTGCCCAGATTATCCTTCAAGGAGAGGTGTTGGTCTTGAGCATTATATTCTCCTTTAAGAGCTAGGACTTGGTAGGTGTCCATTTCTCCTTTCTCTCACCTTCCATATTTAATTGTGTGTTCATTCCAAGTACCTTATTTTCTTTGGCGAATGTTTCTTAGGAAGAGGAAAGAGTGTTCATGTCAGAGCACCAGCACAGATTGGGGGCACTACTCTTTGGAATGAGGGGCTGGCTAATCCCATCCATGGCTGGCTCAGCCCCTAGAGGGTGGCAGGAAAGAGAATCAGCTGGAATCATGTAAACACTCAGGCGCCAATCGCCTCATCCAAGAAACTGCTATGAATGTCAAGTGCATCATATTTGCTGAGGCAGGATCAGAGACCAGCCAAACTCTAGGCCATGCCAGCGGAAGGATGAAATAATACTGTTGTTTCCCCTGCTCATTAACATCTGGTTTTTCTGAGGTGACATTTGTCTTAGTGATCGAGGGAAATAAATATGTCTTTGGCCTTCTCTGGCGCTTCATATCAAGCTTGGTTTTACAACAGAAGAGCCCAGAGTTATTCTAATAGAGTATCTATATCAACATAGATGCCAGAAACAAAAATTCATGAGTCAGGGCCTGCGGTTATGTGAGCATGAACACTGGGTCCTATTTGGCATCTGGGCCTCCAGCATGGTCAAGAATCCTGCCCTTTCCAGGATAGCTGAAGGAATGGCCGTGACCAGCTGCCTCTTGGAAATTCTGATCTAGCTTCCTGAGAATTTGCACAGCCGCTAGGGCAGCAATTTTACCCTGGGACACGCTTCTGAGCTCAACTGTCTTTTTTTTGAATACAGTATATGATTCTAGCTGAGGACTCAACCACCAGGCCCAGGGCCAGCGATGATCCTATTTCCGTTAGGAAGAGTCAGGAACACTTTGCCTTTAATCCTGTCTCAGATAACATTCAAATGCTTTAACCCATAAAAATAAATTCAATTCTTTGAGGTCTAATGTGTGTCTGTGTGTTTATATATAGACGATTGGAGCTATATTTCATTATTGGCCTTAGTAGAAAAAGCAAGGGCTAAATGTCTGTAAGATGAAGCCTATAAAGCCGTTTTACTCATTTATTTATTTTCACTTTTTTTTTTTTTTTTTTTAGAGACAGGGTCAGTCTTGCTCTGTGACCCAGGCTGGAGTGCAGTAGCGTGATCATAGCTCACTGCAGCCTCAAACTCCTGGACTCAAGCCATTTCCCACTTTAACTTCTCTGTAGCTAGGACTACAGGGGTGCACCACCATGCCTGGCTAATTTTTATTTTTAATTTTAGTAGAGACAGGGCCCCCTTGTGTTGCCCAGGCTGGTCTCAAACTCCCAGACTCAAGCAATCCTCCCGCCTCCACCTCCCAAAGCGCTGGGATTTACAGGCATGAGCCACGGCACCCAGCTTCATTTTAAAACCTATAATTATCTTGATAATTTGGGGGGAAATGCATTAAGATTCAGTAAAATAATGAGATAGATTTTTAAAATTCTAAAGACAGTATTTGGATTTATAATTATAAATACCATTCAAGCAGGCCTAACATTCTCAATTAGCAAAACGTAAGAAAACAATTTCTGATGCTTTTGATCCAGATCTTGAATGAAGAGACTTGTCTTCCACAGAATGGGGCTTGGGTTTGTCAGAAGAGATGTTGTAGGGACATTGACTATGGCAAAGCCCATAATTTACGAATTTGTCCAAAGCACCACGTGGTGAATAGGTAAATACTGCTCCAGTACCCCCAGGGAGAAATAATGCAATGAGTTAAATTTCTTAAGAGAAGTCAAGCGAAAACCCTTTTTATCTCTAGTTTTTAAATGGTTTTTCTAATCTGCATGCATATATATATATATATATATATATATATATATATATATATATTTTGTGCCTTAGTAAATATAGCATAGTGAACATAAGCAACCATTTCTTAGGCAAGCCAGAATCTGAAAGTGTTTTAAGGTCATCCTTTAAAAAAAATCAGCGCCCGTATGTGGAAAATCAACCTTGTAGGTTAGTAGTGGCTGAAAGTTCAGAGATATTCACAAACTCAGCGTTTGTTACCTGTGTGTTTTTAACAAGTCTCTGTTTTTATATAGCTTACCCCTTAATGATAAAAACTGCGTGCACAAAAATTTCCTTAAGTTGATGGTACTGGTTGATCAAGTTATAGTTAATAAAAGTAAATGTATACATATATTTATTTAAATAACTATATTTTACTTTTTATAAATATATGTACTATTTAATTATAAATATATATGTTTATATACTTATTTATTTATGATTACTCCCTTTTATAACATTCAGAGTGTGCTTTGTCATTCAAACCTTTTTCTGTCCCCACCACGGGGGTTGTGAGCTGCCCGAGGGCAGCAGTGAACTTGCACAGGGCTTTGTATCCTGAATGCCTAGTTGGGTGCTCCTTATGACTGTGGATTTAAAGCTGTGGTTCTCAACCTTGGCTGCACCTTGGAATCCTCAATCGAGCTTTCACAAACACTGATGCCAAGAAAGCTGGTTTAATTGGTGTATAGAAAGTTCTGGGTATTGGGAATTTTAAGAGTTCCCCAGATGATTCTAATATGCAATCAATGTCGGGAACCACGGATTTCAGGAATCAAGTATCCAGCCGCAGAAGTGGCAGCATCACCTCTCTGAGACGCCAGAGGGCAGACAGGCAGCCAGAAGAAGGCAGTGGGTAACACAAAGGCACTTCTGGATTGGCCTGAAACCACATGGGACGTGCTCACTCCCAGCAGAGCGGCCTGGTGTGATAATAGTGTCATGGGAATTTTTCTGGCCTGCTAGTCACAGGTAGTTGAGATGTGTGAAAGGAAGTGTTTGAAGGTATTAGAAAGCTTCAGAACTTAACTTCTTCTCTGCCATTGGTTTCCAAACTATCACATAAATAATTCACAAAAAGAGACATAAATGAATAAGGAATATATGGAAAATGTTTAGCTTTAGTAGTAATCATTTCAGTGCAAATCAACATTAAAATTATTTTAATGATATTGAGGGTTCACAGGGATAGAGTGAAATTGGTCTTCAATTGACAGAATCCATTGGGCAGCATGGATCAAGAACTATAAAAATGTTCTTATCCTTTGACTCCATAATTCCTTTCTGAGAGTCTATTATAAGGAAACAATTCACAATATGGGAAAACCTACTTGGAAAAAGATGTTCATCATGGTTATTGCTAACAGTGCAATATCAGAAGCAGTCAAAGTATTAAACAACATGAGAAAAATTAAAAAAAATTATATATATATATATATATATATATATATATACACACACATACATATATACACGTATTTTGAGACAGAGTCTTGCTCTGTCACCCAGGCTGGAAGTGCAGTGGTGCATTCTTGGCTCACTGCAACCTCTGCCTCCCAGACTCAAGCAATCCTCCTGCCTTAGCCTCCCAAGTAACTGGAACTACAGGTGTGTGCCACCATGCCTGGCTAATTTTTGTATCTTTTATGTACAGATGGGGTTTCTCCATGCTGCCCAGGCTGATCTTGAACTCCTGGGCTCCAGTGATCCGCCTGCCTCAGCCTCCCAAAGTGTTGGGATTACAGGCATGAGCCATCACACCCAGCCTAAAAATATACATTATATCCATTGGGTGGAATATTATGCAGCAATTATGACAATAGATAGAAATGAAAATTGTGTTATTCACAGAAATGTTTATGCTCATTATGATACAGTGCTGTTTGTAAACTATTACTTCAATTGGGTTTTTGAAAAGGCCACTTGAGATATCTTCAATCCCAAAGTACTCCTCTCCTGGAAGGAATGCTGTTACGGTGCACCACACATTTGCTTTCTTTTTTTTTTTTTTTTTTTTGAGACGGAGTCTCGCTCTGTCGCCCAGGCTGGAGTGCAGTGGCGGGATCTCGGCTCACTGCAAGCTCCGCCTCCCGGGTTCACGCCATTCTCCTGCCTCAGCCTCCCAAGTAGCTGGGACTACAGGCGCCCGCCACTACGCCCGGCTAATTTTTTGTATTTTTTTAAGTAGAGACGGGGTTTCACCGTTTTAGCCGGGATGGTCTCGATCTCCTGACCTCGTGATCCGCCCGCCTCGGCCTCCCAAAGTGCTGGGATTACAGGCGTGAGCCACCGCGCCCGGCCCACACATTTGCTTTCTATGTTGGCTGGCCTCTCATAGCTTCAGGTCTTTCATCTAAAGCACCTATCCTTGGAAATAGCTGCTGGTCCTTTTCATCAGAGGTTGCCATGGGTACAGACATTTTTTCTTTTTTAACTAACTATCTTGCACGCCTTTAAAGAGCCAGATATCAATGAGAGGGAAAGGCAATTAAATACAGTGAAAATTCTTTCTGTATATTGCACACAGGAGAAATGAGAAGCCCATTCCATTCATCTTTTAGGTGATCTATTCCTGGGGTTTCATCCCCTTAATTTGAGATTTCTGGATGTTCTTAAAGAGCCTTGCTGACTACCTTAACGAGCAAGTTGAGGGTAGAGCTTGTTACCGACAGATCAGAATCTCCAGCTTGAGTAATGCTAAAAATAATCAAACAGGAAATGGGTGTACAGAGGGGGAATTGCTACAAAATGAATAAGAATTATCTTGAAAATTCATCTGTGAGAATTCCAGGACTTGTATGGATACTGGAGCTTTGGGGTTTCTTCCAAACAGTTATGCATGAGAAAGCAAATCTGTTGCTCAATACAGAGGCTGCGGTTCATTTTCCTGCTAGTGAACATAGGCAATGCCTTTGGATTCTACAGCGAGCTGTGCCACAACCAGGTAATTAACACAGAGTGATATAAATACGGATTAAGTTGTGGTATAGTACTTGTCATCTATTAGTAACTTATGATGAAAAGTTATTAAACCATTATTTTTAAATGATGTAGTCCAAGTTATTTTCTACAATGTGGCCTCAGCATATGGTCAAAGTCAGGCTGGATCCAATAGGATTCCTTTCCATCAGAGAGGATGGAAATCACCTTGAACAGATGAGTTGCCACCATCAGAGTGAGGTGACAAAAGTGGCTATTTGAACCTTAAGACTTTCTATTTTATTTATTTACATATTTATTTTTAATTATGGTAAAAAGCATATAACATAAAATTTACCATCTTAGCCATTTTAAGTGTACGGTCGTGTTCAGTATGTTCACATTGCTGTGCAAAGGATCTCCAGAACCCTTTTCATCTTGCAAAATGAAACTTTGTACCATTAAACAACTCCCCATTTCCCCCTCCCCAGCCCCTGGCAATCCTCCTTCTACTTTCTGTCTCTATTAATTTGACTACTCAGGGTACTTTAGATCAGTGGAATCATATGATGTTTGTCTTTTTGTGACTGGCTTGTTTCACTTAGCACAATGTCTTCAAGGTTCATCCAGGTAGTGACATGTGTCAGAATTTCCTTTTTTTTTTTTTTAAGAATAATAGACATAAGACTGTTTCTGACACTTATTTTCTCTCTCCTACAAATATGCTCAATGATTCCGTCTTGTGATTAAAAAAATAACAAAAATAATAATAATCCCCTCTTTTTCTCAGACAAGCAGCTCTCCAACTTCTGTTTTCCTTTTTATTCATCCTGCGTAAGCCCTACCTTTACTCTTTGGGATCTGTTTTTCTTTTTCTTTTATTTCTTTCTTTCTTTTTTTTTTTTTTTGAAATTGAAGCAGAGTCTTGCTCTGTCACCCAGGCTGGAGTGCAGTGGCATGATCTTGGCTCACTGTAGCCTCCATTTCCTGGGCTTAAGCGATTCTCCCACTTCAGCCTCCCAAGTAGCTGGGACCACAGGTGTGCATCACCACGCCCAGCTAATTTTTTGTATTTCTGGTGGAGATGGGGTTTCATCATGTTGGCCAGGCTGGTCTTGTACTCCTGGCCTCATGTGATCTGCCCACCTTGGCCTCCCAAAGTGCTGGGATTACAGGTGTGAACTACCACGCCTAGCCTGGGATCTGGTTTCTGTCTCACCACCCCTCCAAATCTCTTTCCTCCAAGAGTGTTAGACTTTTCTGGAATAAAACAATTATTTTTTGAAATAAAGTGCCCCTGTTGCATGATGCATGCACAGGAAATTATTTCTTGATTATGTTTTCTTCCAGATGTGGTTCTTTGTCTACCTTTTGCATGCTCTCTTCTTTTCACCTTTAATTTTCTTTTCGCTTAGTTTTCTTTTTGGCCTTAGAATCCCTGTAGAGCAGACAGAAATTACTCATAAATAGACAGCTCTGCTCAGATGTCTAATTGCTGTCATGTAGCATAATGCATTCTTCTTGACATATTCCCTACTGTATTTTGAGACTGGTTAGTTTATTGTGTGTTTCCAGTTTTAAGGCTAGGTGTTGCTTTTAGTTTATTTTTATGTGAAGCCAAGCTGGGGCTAATGTCTGAGCCTGGAGGATGTGAGTTCTGAAAGATCTTTGAGGCCAGGCACAGTAGCTCATGCCTATAATCCCAGTACTTTGGAAGGACAAGGCAGAGGAGGACCACTTGAGGCCAGGAATATGAGACCAGCCTGGGCAAATAGTGAGACCCCATCTCTACAAAAAAATACATACATAAATAAGGAAAAGAAAGTTCTTGGAAATTATGTCAAATTCAAAGGGCCCACTTGATTCAGCAAGTTGCGTGAGGTTAGGCTCATTACCCCAGCCCAGCATGGTGTCTTGGAGGGTGGGAAACCTTGGTGTCCTTTCTAGCATTTTTCAAAGTTCCCTAGGGAGAGAAGGGCTTCTAATCTGAGGGGCCTATCTATATTTTTTCACAGGGATGCTGTGTTTGTCCATTTGTGTTGCTGTAAAGGAACACCTGAGACTGGGTAATTTATTAAAAAAGAAAAGAGGTTTATTTGGCTCATGGTTCTACAGGCTGTATAAGCATGGCACTCAAATCTCGGATTCTGGTGAGGCCTCAGGAAGCTTTTAGTTATGGCAGAAGGAAAGGAGAGCCAGTGTGTCACGTGGCAAGAGAAGGGGCAAGAGAGACACCAGGCTCTTTTCTTTCTTTCTTTTTCTTTTGCATTTGTTGAGAGAGTCTCACTGTGTCACCCAGGCTGGAATGTAGTGGCTGTTCTTGGCTCACTGCAACCTCTGCCTCCTGGGTTCAAGCAGAATGGCAAAACATCTCAAACCATATGAGATGCCAATCCTCCCTTGGTCTACTTCTCCGGAAATTGGCAGGTATTATGAGTGAGATGGCTCAAGATTTTATTGACTAACCTTCTTCCATCGTGGTGTTTCTGGGGAGGAGAAAGCAGGCAGAAGCCACACCATATTGTACCACTTCAGAATCTTTCGGTTTTTCCCTTGATGCTTCTCTCTCTTTCTTTTCTTTCTCTCTTTCTCCCTCCCTTCCTTCCTTCCTTCCTCCCTTTCTCTCTCTCGCTTTCTTTCTTTTTTGTCTCACTCTCCCTTGATGCTTCTCTGTTCCTTCCTTCCTCCCTCCCTCCCTCCTTTCTTTTCTTTCTTTCTTTCCTTCCTTCCTTCCTTCCTTTTTTTTTTTTGTCTTGCTCTGTCACCCAGGCTGAGTGCAGTGGTACGATCTCAGCTCACTGCAACCTCCACCTCCTGGGTTCAAGCAATTCTCCTGCCTTAGCCTCCTGTGTAGCTGCGATTACAGACACGTGCCACCACATCCAGCTATTTTTTGTATTTTTAGTAGAGATGGGGTTTCGCCATGTTGGCCAGGATGGTCTCCAGCTCCTGACCTCAGATGATCCACCCACCTTGGCCTCCCAAAGTGCTGGGATTACAGGCATGAGCCACTGCACCTGGCCGATGCTTCTTTTTCAAAATATATAATAAGAAGTTGTTCCTTTTTCCTTGTTAAATTGCAACTGGGAAATTTTTATTGTTTCCTTTTGGCTTTTGTGTTTGTTCACGGTATTTTGTTCGTTGTCTTGGCTAGTGGTGAGAGAGTCTATGAGCTGGCTTTGTTCTGTTGTTTGTGCCTGGAAGTCCAACAGTATCATCCTCATTACTAAATTTAATGACCTTTTCTTGGTACTCTTCCTTCTCCACTTTAAGCATTTTAATACAGTTGACTGTGCCCTTATTTGACCCAAATTACATGATACACTCCTCCTCCTTGCCCCTGGCATCTCTCTTTTTCTGACTTCTTCGTCTCACTAAAATGAAGATGTTGGACTGGTTTGCAGTTCTCAGTGCTAGTTGCATGCTAGAATCACCTAGAGAGCGTTTTAGAAGCACTTCACTCCCAGGAATTCTAATTTCTTCAGTTTGAGGTTGAGCCTGAGCATCAGTATTTTTTTTTTAACTCTCCATGGGATTTAGTGAGTGTCCACAATGAAGAGCCACGGGCCTCTGTGTAGTGACAGCTGCTCCCTGATCTGAGGCTCCCAGGTTGTATCCTTCTATAAAGAAGGCAGGTGGGAGTCACCAGAAATCACCAAAAAGAGCAACGGGGTGAACAACTTTAGCAAGAAGAAAGATTCCATGCACAAAAGCCACAAAGTTCAAAGAAGACATAAGAACAGCTGAGGAAGAGGAGTCCCAAACAGATGTGCTGATACTGCTTAGTAAGCTTCGTAACTTCTTGATGGGACCCAGAAGTTATATTTTTAAACAATCACCTGGATAATTTTGGTACTCAATGAGATTTCAGAACTGATGCTCTAGATATTTTTTGCTTGTCTCCTGCCAAACATGAGCTTTCAGAAAGGTCGCTCTAATCCACCCTGTCCTGACCAAAATCATGTGCCTGGCTCTCCCTGCCCTCTAGGTCTGAGCTATTTGGAACAATCTACAGAGCTTCAATCTGCCTTTAACCCATCTCATCTTTAAGCAGTTACTGGAGTAGTGGTTCTCAAGCTTGAGTGTGCATCAGAATCATCCAGATGCCTTGTTACAAACAGATTTCCAGACCCCATGCCTAGAATTTTAAACTCTGAAGACTGGGGTTGGGGCCAAGAATTTAAATTTCTATCAAGCTCTTTGGTGATGCTGCTGCTGCTGGCCCACAGCCACACTTTCAGAGGAACTGGACTAGAGGGATCATCCCAAAACAGATCAGTGCATTCGTCCATTGCTGAACACCCTTGAATGTTTCAGATTAATTCCCACTCACTGAGCCAGGTACACAGGCGCTTGAGCTCAGGCAGCCACATCTCCTTCACTCCACACCTCTGGTTCAGGCACACAGACATTTCCCTGTCCTATCACCATACCATGTTTGTTCACACCTTCAGTCTTTGCATATACAATTCTCCCCCTGGAGTCTTTTTCTCCTATTTCTATGTTGGGTAGACTCCCACTCATCAGTCAAGATTCTGCTAAAATGTCACTTTCTCCATGAAACCTTCACAGAACCTTTCAGCAATATAGTTTCTTTCTCCTCTCCTCTGTACACTAATTTAGAACACATTTCAATGCATTTTGATGACTTGTTTGCACATTTCTCTCCTTCCCTAATAGATCTGATTCCTTATAAATAAAGCTAAGTTTTACTCATGTTTTCCCTGTATTCTCTGCATCCTTAAGACCTAGCATGGTGTCCAGCACAGAATATGTGCAAAAGAAACATTTATCGCATGCAAGACAGGATGGTCAAGAACCAACTCTATAAGCAAGAGTTGCTTGACTTTTTCCTTAAAGCATAAAATACTTAGAGTGAAAAGGTAGCATAACTCTTTAGATGGGGGTTAAGCCTATTCATTTAGCTGGACCTGGAAACTGATTTCAAAGCTGGACACTATGGAAAAGATGCAGATTTCCAAAAGGAATTTTCCTACACCACTATGCTCTCTACACAGGAATTAATGCCATTTTCCACATTCCCTACAAAACCCCACAAGCAGGGTTTAGCATTTTAAATCCCATTGGTACAAAAAAAGTTTGGCTGTGGTCTCATTATTCTGAACAAATAAACTGCAAATTATTTCACCTGATATATTAGTCCGTTCTCACACTGCTATAACAAATTGCCTGAGACTGGGTAATTATAGACAAAGGAGGTTTAACTGACTCGTAGTTCTGCATGGCTGGAGAGGCCTCAGGAAACTTACAGTCATGGTGGAAGGCCCGTTCTTCACAAGGTGGCAGGAGAGAGAAGAACCTGCAGGAGAGAGCAGGGAAAACTGCCTTGAGAAACCATCAAATCTCGTGAGAACTCACTATCACAGAAACAGCATGGGGGAAAGCCTCCCATGATCCAATCACCTCCCACCAGATCTCTCCCTCGATACCTAGGCCTTACAATTCAAGATGAGATTTGGGTGGGGACACAAGGCATAACCATATCACCTGACAAAAAGCAAAACATGACTTAAACTCTTTACATTTAAAATGTAGGACATGCTGTCATCTGGAGGATGGAGACCCAAGGTCCTTCTTTTTTATTAAGATGAATGCAAGTATTTACATTTAAGTGATCAAAGGAGAAATTTAGCATAGTTCCAAAAAATAAATTACAGTCGTCCATTCTCAAGTATCTAAAACACTGGGTAGGCTGGGGAATACCTACATTTATAGATAATTCTGGAGGTAAGGGTGTTTTTATGTCCTCAGCTGGGTATTTTTATAAAACATGCCATTGTGTTCAGCCTTGTAGAATTTATGCCATTAAGTGTTGTACATTCAGATAAAAGCTGGCCCAAGGAAAGGAAATTGTTGGTAGAACATATTTTGGTAAATGATTTACAAAAGCATGAGAGCCGGTTTGTTCTGAGTTTTAAACTTACCTTTCAATAAAACATTGACCAAGGACTTGGAGCTCTGCCTGTGCTTGTACTTAGGAAGGGCAACACACTGTATGTCAGGAATGAAAGATTATGTTTGTGCACAATAAATATTGTGCAAGTCAACTGCTGATCCAATGCAGAGGAATCACTCATTTATTCATTCACTCGACGAGTCTGTATCGAGGATCAATCATGTACCAGGCACCCTCCTTGGCTCTGAGGACACAGCAGGGAACAAAACAACACAGGTTGCTGCCCACGTAGATCTTATGCTCTAGGTGGGGAAAGATAGGCAATAAACCAATACACATCACTATGGAGAAAAATAAAGCTAGAAGCAGGTTACAGAATGATGGGTGGGGTGAGAATGTGGTTTTAAACAGGTGGTCTAGGAACAGGAATGGTGCCTCACACCTGTAATCCCAGCACTTTGGGAGGCTGAGGTGAAAGGATTCCTTGAGGCCAAGAGTTTGAGACCAGCAGGGGCAACACAGTGAGACTCCATCTCTACAAAAAATAAAAAAATTAGCCAGGCATGATGGCACGCAGCTGTAGTCCCAGATGCTTGGGAGACTGAGGCAGGAGGATCTCTTGAGCTTAGGAGTTCGAGGTTGCAGTGAACTCTGATGATGCCACTGCACTCCAACCTGAGTGAAAGAGGGAGGATCCTGTCTAAAATAAAATAAAATGGCCGGGCGCAATGGCTCATGCCTGTAATCCCAGCACTTTGGGAGGCCAAGGCAGGTGGATCACGAGGTCAGGAGTTCAAGACCAGCCTGGCCAACATGGTGAAACCCCATCCCTACTAAAAATACAAAAAATTAGCCGGGCATGGGGGCACGTGACTGTAATCCCAGCTACTCGGGAGGCTGAGACAGAAGAATTGCTTGAACCTGGGAGGCGGAGGTTGCAGTGAGCCAAGATAGCGCCACTGTACTCCAGCCTGGGCGACAGAGCAAGACTCTGTCTCAGAAAAAAAAAAAAATAAATAAATAATAAATAAAGTAAAGTAAAATGAAATGAAACAATACTTGAATAAGCCAGGTGATCAGAGAAGAGCTCACTGGACTGAAAGAGGAGGAAGAGTGACCCAGGCAGTCATTGGGCAGAGCAAATGAGAGGGACGAAAGCTCTGAGGTGGGACCCATGCCTGCCATATTTGAGGAACAGAGTGGGCTGGTGTGCTGGAGTGAGTGAGTGGGGGGAAGAGTAGTTGAAGATGAAGCCCAGAACCGAAGGCTGTTGTTATGATTCTGGCTTACTTGGTGTGAGGTGGGAGACCTTTGTGATGTTGATTAGACAAGTGATTAGGTCGACATCATTTTATAACAGGACCTCCCTCGCTACTGTCTTCAGAGTAGACAGAAAAGAGACAAGGGCAGAGTTGAAAGATGAACTAGAAGGCTATTTCAATAATCCAGTGAGAGACAGATGTGGTTTGGACAAGATTTTAGTGCTTAGGTAGTGAGAAGTGGTTGGACTCTGATATATTTTGAAAGAAGGGCTGACAGGATCTATTAAGAGACTGGGTAAAACGTATGAAAGAGAGGAGTCAAGGATGGCTTTAAGGTTTCTGGCCTGAACTATGGGGAGGATGCAGTTGGCATTCACGGAGATAGAAAAGGCTCTAAGAGAAGCAGAGAAAGCTCCATCTGGGACATAATGAGTTGGGATGCTGTGGAATACTACTCAGCCATAAAAAAGAGCAAAGTAATGTGTTTTGTAGCAACTTGGATGGAGCTGAAGGGTATTGTTCTAAGTGAAATAACTCAGGAGTAGAAAACCAAATACCACATGTTCTCAGTTTTAAGCAGGAGCTAACCTATGGATACACAAAGCATACAGAATGTTATTGTGGACTCTGAAGACTCAGAAGCAGGAAGACAGGAGGGGGGTGAGGAATGAAAAATGACATATTGGGTACAATGTGCACTGGTGATGGAAGTATGAAAATCTCAGATTTCACCAGTATACAATTCATCTATGTAATGAAAAACCACTTGTACCCCTAAAGCTATTGAAATAAAAAAGTGTGTGTGTGTGTGTGTGTGTGTGTGTGTATAATTGTAAAAAATGAGTTTGGAGGCTGATGATACATCCAAGTGGAGCCTGGACTTAAGGAAGATGTTTTCATTGGATGTAAAATTTGGGGGTTTTCTGCATATGAATGGTGTTTTATCCATCAGACTGAATGTGACCATCGAAGATGAATATGTAGTTAGAAAAGAGATGACGTCCAAAGGAAAATGTTCTATGCTCTCCGATGTGTAGAGATCGGAGCAATGAGGAGGAACTCACGAGGGAAACAGAAGGAGCAGCCAATGAGGCGGGAGGAAGCCCAGGAGACCGTGGCGTTCTGGAGGGCAGGTGAAGGGAGTGTGTGAGGAGGAGGGAACAATCAACCATGTCAAATCCTGTGACAGATCAAGTACAATAAGACTTGAGAGTTGTCCAATAGAGTCAGTGAGCCTTGACCTTAACAAGAACAGTTTGAGTGGAATGGTGGGGGTGATGCTATTACTAAAATGGGTTAAAAGGAGAATAAGCAGGAGAAAAAAAATGAGTATAGACAACTTTTTTCTTCCTTTTACTTGACTGTAAAAGGAAGGAAAGAAATGGGGAGGAGGAGGGGTGGTTCCTGGAGTGGGAAGTGTGGATAAGAAGGAAACCAGGTGTTAAGGGGCCTCCAGGTATTCACAAAGAAAGAAGAACACAATTACATGAAGCTGGGAAAGTTTCTGTAGAGGAGATGTTGATAACATGAGAGATCTGTAGGACTGACATCCTTGAGTAGCTGAGATAGGATGGGCTTTAGCTGGGGGCATGGATAGGTCCTCCACATCCAAGAAGGCAGGTGCGGATTCCTGGCCTCATTAAGAGCCGCTGCCTGGATATTAGTAACCATGAATTTACTGTGAGATCAGTTGCACAGGGTGGCACTTTAGAGATCACTAGAGGAGAAGATGTCAAGGAACTCAGAGAGAAGGACTTGGGAAGCATTACCCACATGGATATTAACATCACCAAAAATTAGGACAAGAGATGTGTTGAAGAATGTAACAGTGATCCAGGAGCTAAAATATTCAGTGGATAGACTAAGCAAAGTTTTGATCATTATGCAATCAAGTAGAAAGACTCAAAGTGCCATAAACCCCCACAAATTTTGAGTCTATTCACCATCAAGATGCTTACTGATTTCTATTCACTATCCTTTGGTGCCACCTGCTGGACACAGACCAAAGCAATACCGTAAGATGGATGAAGCCTCTTAAGGAAAAATCTTTGTCCTGGTTTTAATAAATTTCATGGCAGGTGGGGAAAAATAGTTCCTAGTGAACTGTGATTAATTAGAAAACTCACCGTGAAATTTCATCAGAGGTAATCAATTTTACAAAAAAAAAGAAGCAGAGGGGATGAAAGAAAAGGAAGGAGGAATGAGATGGCAGAATTGTCTATTCTGTCATTTATCTTTTGAGAAATATACTGTCAATTTCGTTATTTTTTCACATGTACATATGTTTTTCCCCTCCCACCTTAAACATTACTTGTGTTCTGCCCACCCTACCACTGTATCTTGTATACAGGGCAAGATGAAGAGTAAATGCGGTGTATTTACCAAAGATTGGAGCAATTAAGAGTAAAGATAGTTTCACAGCAATGTGAATATACTTAACACTACTGAACCGTACACTTACAAATGGTAAAATGGTAAATTTTATGTGTTTTTAAAGCACAATAAAAGATAAAAAATAATTTTAAAAGGGCAACACGAGTGATCCTTGTGGTGATGGAAATGTTCTATCTCTTGACTGAGTCGAGGTCAATATCCTTGTGATTTTTGTTAATACAGTTTTGCAAATGTTGCCACTGGGGAAAGTGGGTAAAGGAAACATGAGATCTCTCGTTTTTATTTCTTATGACTGCAAAATCAAATTTATGGAAAGGAATACGGATATAATAAAATATCACTTGATATTAAAAATAAGCGGATCAAAGACTGGAAGCATGAATAAATAATATTGGTAGAATTGAAAAGACGATCTAAAGCTCATCAGTAAAGCTTTCTCAAATTCAGCAAAGTTGAAAACAAATTATTTGAATCCCCTGTAAATTAAGAGTTGGCAAGAGCAATATCAGGAGACTCTCAGACCCAAATCTAGCAGCTTGGGAGAAGGATGGGCTGCATACTTTTAAGTCTCTGGTAGAAAATTCCTGCGAGATTTTCTTATGAGAAATGATCATCATGAAGAAAACCATATACCAGTGATGCAAAATTCAAAATAAGAAGTTAGCAGTCTGGCGTGGTGGCTCACGCCTGTAATCCCAGGACTTTCAGAGGCCGAGGTGGGTGGATCACCTGAGGTCAGGAGTTCAACAGCAGCCTGGCCAACATGGTGAAACCCCATCTCTACTAAAAATACAAAACTTAGCTGGGCATGGTGGCAGATGCCTGTAATCCCAGCTACTCAGGAGGCTGAGGTAGGAGAATGGCTTGAACCCGGGAGGCGGAGGTTGCAGTGAGCCGAGATGGCGCCATTGCACTCCAGCCTGGGTGACAAGGGTGAAACTCCATCTCAAAAAAAAAAAAAAAAAAAAAAAGCCAGGTGCGGTGGCTCACACCTGTAATCCCAGCACTTTGGGAGGCCGAGGCATGTGGATGTCCTGAGGTCAGGAATTCAAGACCAGTCTGACCAACATGGAAAAACCCCATCTCTACTAAACACACACACACACACACACACACACGTTAGTAAAGTGAATCCAGGATGGTGATTGTGGTTTACATTGGTGCTTGCCTGTTCATCATTCCTTTGCCTTTCTCCCTTCTGAGTGGAAGTCAGTTTGATTCCAGAATCCACCCCTTACCCGCTTGCTTCAGGGAAAGCCTTCCGGTCCCTCACTCCAAAGGGAGATTTGATTGGCCTATGGATAATTTCCACTGCCTAGATAGTGACTGGTTTAGGAATTGGCATGGACACAATCTGGGCATAAGGAATGCAAGGAGCCACTTTCATAGTCCCTTAGGAAATGTCCTTTTTGCTTTGATGGGAAAGCTTCCTGAAATGACCATCTTCTGCTAGAAGTAAGGGAGGAACCATATAGCTCCAGCTGCTACTGAAAGCCATCCTATGACTACAAGGAATTTGCACCTTAGGACAAAGCTGATGTTGAGGTCACAGGAGCCTGTTAAGCCCTGGAACAACCAGTCATGAACCTGCCTTACTTTTTGTGTTCTAGTTAAATACATCGATATATTTCTTTATTGTTTCAATTGATGTGAGTTGGGCTTTTCATTATTTTTAGGTGAAAGCATCCTGACTGATAAAATGACTTGGTTGGGGTTTATTCCAGGAGTGGCAGTATTGTTCTGTATCAGCAAAAATGCTGATACAATTCATTCCATCAATAGGTTGGAGGAAAAAAACCAATACAGTCATTCAGATATGGAAAAATCCAAGATAATTCGTAGGTTACAGTTTTTCTCTTATTAAACGATGAATAGAAGAGTATTTTTAAGTCCTCTCAGAGAAAGCAGAAGCGTTTGGGGGATGTAGCCATCTATCTGAATGTGGCCCTCTCCTCTCCTTTACTCCCACGTCCAATCCATATGGATCTCTTGAGCCAAAAAGCTGCTGAGGTCTATAGAAAGCTGGATGAAAGCAACATCCTAGGTTTAATTGAACCAGCATAGGACTTTCTCTCCCAGGGGTTATATGAGTGCCTGGAGACGAGTTTCAGGGAGCTCAGGACTGACAATGGTGGATATTGGGAAGAAGGTAGTATTCAGAAACAAAAGGAGCCCCTGGGGAAAATCACTACCTGCCCTGACAAATGGGCCTGGTTACTGGGCTTCTAGGAAGGCAAGAAGCAGCTAAATGGGCCAGCTAAGACCTCTCTGCCCAAACATTGAACAGCAACAACAAATCCCACCTAATGACATTCAGCAGTCAAAGGCAGGATGATCAGTTATAACAAACAGAATATATAATCAATAGAATGAAGCTGCTGGAGGAGACAGACAACAATTTAGTGAGGAAAAAAAGATCAAATAAGGAGGGTCACTGGCAGCACAGAACAGAATTTCTGAAGTTAAAAATCATAATTTTCCAATTAAGCAATGTCAAAAATAAGTAGAAGAGAAATGTACTGTCAAGACACAACTTAGTTGCCAGGAAGAGCAAGTCCAAAAAATATCCCAATGACCTGAGGGGAAAAAAAGTATATCAAGAGAGATGATGAAACTTGGAGAATAGGCCTGAAAGTCTAATTCTATAATAAAGCTTCTGAAGGAAAAGAGGCAGTCCTTTAAAAAATAATAAAAGAAAAGTTGAATCGATATTGGTGGCCTGTAGACAGAAACAGTATACTGATTTCCAGGCCACATCGATGAGAAAAGACTCATATCCAGGCAAATCCCAATAGAATTCCTGAATAAAAAAAAATAAAGAGAAAATCATAAAATCTTTAGGCAAAAAGGAAAAATCACTTCTCAAAGAAAAAGATTCTGACTGGCATTGTTACATTCCATCACATGCAAAGACAGAAGCTAGTGGAATTGAATCTGCAGACTTCTGAGAGCTGTAGACTTCTGAGAGATAAGAAATGAAAGCCACAATTCTATACCCAGCCAAGATATCACATCTCATGTGGTAATGAAAGAAATTTGAGAGTATATAAGAATTCAGAGATTATAAACCTAAGTGTTCCCAAATGAGGGATTTTCTTGAGCACATACTCTAACCAAACTACAAGCAAATCCAAGCAGACATTATGATAGTGTAAGAAGATGAGAAGAAATGAGCATGAGCAATGAAACTTGAGATACTTATATTCATCATCTATTCATATCTATCTATCTACCTAAATGACTAAGGGTAGACTGTCAATGAATCTGTAATATAAGTGCAAATATAGACTCTAGAAATAAAACGGCATACTTTATAGGTAATTTAACAATTTGAAAACAAAAATACTAAATTATCTCAGAAAAACTAGGAACTGGAGTGAAGAAGTGGTAACTAAAATCATTCCCAAACTTTGACTTCAGACCATGGGAAGAAGAAGACAAAAATGTATTGAAAATATTCACTGATCTTGTTGAGATGATGTGGGGATAGGGGAAAACAGTTAATTGGCAGCCAACTCTGGAAGGGCTCAAGTTGATTGATTGTTAGATTTCAGAGGGCACCTCAAGGGTCCTGGTGTCCCTCATTGACAGCCCAAGCTTTTCTTCCTCTCCCTACTGTCCTCACCCTTGTCTGAGGGGACAGCGTGTGCTGGCCATGCAGAACCCACAATGCTCCTATATCATACCTGAAATAGCAGGTTTTTATGAGACTGAATGAAATGAAATTACCAACAATTGTGTAATGTAATATTTAACCAAGCCAATAGTCCAAGGCCATCTTCCAACAACGTTACTTTTTTCCTTTGCTGTACATTGTGTTGTGCTAGAGATGTTAGTTTTTCTAGCAGCTGTTTGCAGACCAGCAATTGTTCACCTTGGACTGAGGACGCAAGTCAAAATGAATTTCTCTATATCAGCTGCAACTGGGATTACTTGTTTGTTTCTTTTGTTTGTTTGTTTGTTTGTAAATTTCCAGCATTCAAGCTGCACAGATTTTAGCAAGCTTGGAGGGACAAAGGACTAAACAGACCCTCCTTGGAACATTAAAACAAATGGTTCCAAGTTGTTTGGACTAATTAAGCAGTCGCTGGATGTCACAATATTTCTGTGGAAATGGCAATTCCCTGGCATTTGCCAACTTCCTTGTAATGTTACATACAAGATCCAAAATGGAATTTTTCATTTTATTTAACTTGTGAGATTAAATTTAAGACTAACTTAATAAACCAGCCTATTTATGTGGACAATAGAATTATTTACAATAACTCCTAATACTAATAAATTAAAAATAAATAAACTTCCAACAACAGGGATCAGCTAAATAAATAATAGCAATGTCTTCTAACTTTTTTAGAATTGCAAACCCCTGAAGTGGTTTTAAAAATATCACCAATTTTGAATGGCGACAGGGGACAGGGAGTGCTGGCCATGTAGAACCCACAATGCTCCTATATCATACCTGAAATAGCAGGTTTTATGAGACTGAATGAAATGAAATTACTAACAATTGTGTAATGTAATATTTAACCAAGCCAATAGTCTAAGGCTATCTTCCAAGAACATTACTTTTTCCTTTGCTGTACATTGTGTTGTGCTGGAGATGTTAGTTTTTCTAGCAACTGTTTGCAGACCACCAAACGGTTTTTCTTTTCTTTTTTCAGACAGAGTCTCACTCTGTCTCCCAGGCTGGAGCGCAATGATGCAATCTTGGCTCACTGCAACTCCCGCCTCCTGGGTTCAAGTGATTCTCGTGTCTCAGCCTCCTGAGTAGCTGGGACTATAGGGGCGTGCCACAATGCCCGGCTAATTTTTGTATTATTAGTAGAGATGGGGTTTCGTCATGTTAGCCTAGCTGGGCTCGAACTCCTGACCTCAAGTGATCCACCTGCCTCGGCCTCCCAAAGTGCTGGGATTACGGGTGTGAGCCACAGTGCCCGGCCAAGAACGGATTATTCAATAAAAATATTTTTGGCCAGGTGCAGTGGCTCACGCCTATAATCCCAGCACTTTGGGAGGCTGAGGCAGGTGGATCACGAGGTCAGGAGATCGAGACCATCCTGGCTAACACCGTGAAACCCCATCTCTACTAAAAATACAAAAAATTAGCCAGGCGTGGTGGTGGGTTCCTGTAGTCCCAGCTACTTGGAAGGCTGAGGCAGGAGAATGGCATGAACCCGGGAGGCGGAACTTGCAGTGAGCGGAGATCGCACCACTGCACTCCAGCCTGGGCGGCAGAGCGAGACTCCGTCTCAAAAAAAAAAAAAAGTATATATATATATTTTAAATTTTTATCAATATATTAAAGATTGTGTTATAAAGTTTCCTTAAAATACAATAGCTGCAATTGGGTTTGAGAAGTTATTAGTTAATACAAATAGTTATGAAATAGTAAGCTATATACATGTTGGTCTCTGCTCCCAGTCCTGGGCACACAGCTTCTAAAACCCTTGTAATTTCCTGAGTGATGGGGTGCTAGGAAAATCTTTTGTTCTAATGTTTGGTCTCTGCCCCAGTTTCTGACAGAGTGGTCTTCCATCTGTTGAGATTTCCTGGGTGATAGCAGTGTCTTTTGTCCTAATGAGGTGACTCTTGATGGGCTCCTGGCTGGGGGCTGGTCACCAGATAGACCAAGCCAGGATTAGAAGCTTGGAGCTTTCAGCACCGTCTCTTATTCTCTGGAGAGGGGAGAAGGGCTGGAAATGGAATTAATAATCCGTCATGCCTGTGTGAGGACAGTGCCATAAAAATCCCTCAACTATGAGGTTCAGAGAGCTTCTGGGTTGGCAAACACATCCCTATGCTGTGAGCATGGCCCTCCACCAACTCCACAGGGACAGAAGCTCCTGCCCTTGGGACCTTTCTTTCACACCTTGCCCTATGCATCTCTTCCATCTGGCTATTCATCTGTAGCCTTTGTAATTTCCTTTATAATAAATGGGTAAATGTAAGGAAAGTGTTTCCCTGTATTTTGTGAGCCACTCTAGCAAATTAATTGAACCTGAGAAGGGGGCTGTGGGATCCCTGATTTATAGCCAGAAGGTTGGGAATACTTAACAACCTACTGCTTGTGATTGGCAGCTGAAGTGGGAGGCAGTCTTGTGGGACTGAGCCCTTAGCCTGTGGGATCTGACGCTTTCTCCAGGTAGATTGTGTCCTAATTGAATTGGATTAGAGAACACACAGCTGGTGTCTGCTAGAGACCTGCTTGATTGTTGGTGGAGAGAAAACCTCACCCATTTTGGTGACCAGCGTTGAAGTGTTCTGTGTTGTATTGAGTGCATGAGAGTAGGAAAAGCACTTTGGTTTTTCCTAATAAAAGTTGATTAAGGAGTCTTAAGAAACAATGTATATAAATCTTAAATATTTTAACTTAAAACATTTATATATACTTTCATTTGAAAACACTTTGATGTGACATCAATGTATGATTACAATTCTTGTATAATATAAACCATATCCATAATGTATTACCTATAGTTATAATTTTAGTCACCTTAAATTAGAGGATGAAGTTTGGAAATTTACAGTATGATGTGAGTGTAGAATCATCCTTTGAAGATTTTTTGGCAAATTTGCTATTCCTTTTCTAACTCCATTTTTTTTTTTTGGAGATGGCGTCTGGCTCTGTCGCCCAGGTTGGAGTGCAATGGCGTGAGCTTGGCTCACTGCAACCTCCACCTCCCGGGTTCAAGCGATTCTCCTGCCTCAGCCTCCTGAGTAGCTGGGACTACAGGTGCCCGCCAACACACCCAGCTAATTTTTATATTTTTAATAGAGACGGGGTTTCACCATGTTGGCCAGGATGGTCTCGATCTCTTGACCTCGTGATCTGCCCGCCTCGGCCTCCCTAACTCCCTGGGATTACATGTGTGAGCCACTGCGCCCGGCCCTAACTCCACTGTAAAAGAAGCTATTCAAAATTAAATATAACAGCTGGTAAAAATAGCATTAATAGGCCTTAGAATAGTTGTTAGTGGCTCTTGGTAAGTATTCCACTTGACTCTTGTGGACAGGGTATACTCAGGCGTGCTGGAAAGTTGTCTCCTAGTCTGGAATGTGCATCTTATTGTGGGCATTGCTCAGTGTGTTTACAGACTAAATGGCAAGCATAGAGCAAACTCGAGCGTGCCTCAAAATCACTGGGAGGGGCCGGGTGCAGTGGCTCATGCCTGTAATCCCAGCACTTTGGGAGGCTGAGGCAGGTGGATCGCTTGAGCTCGGGAGTTCAAAACCCCCCTGGGCAACATAGTGAAACCCTGTCTCTACCAAAAATACAAAAAATTTGTCAGGTGTGGTAGCATGCACCTGTGGTCGCAGCTACTTGGGAGGCTAAGGTGGGAGGATTGCTTGAGTCCAGAAGGCAGAGGTGGCAGTGAGCCAAGATTTTGCCACTGCACTCCAGCCTGGGCAAAAGAGTGAGACCCCATCTCAAAAAATGAAAATCACCTGGAGGCCTGGTTAAAATCCAGATCGCTGGGCCCCATGATCTGATACAGATGGCCTGGGGTGGGGCCTGAGAACTTGCATTTATAACAACTTCCCGGGTGATGCTGATGCAGCTGGTTAGGAATCACATTTTGCGATCAACTGGCATAGGCCACATATGCAAAAGATTAAAACTAGACCCCTTCCTTACACTATATACAAAAATTAACTCAACACGGATTAAAGACTTAAATGTAAAAAAACCAAAACTATAAAAACCCTTTAAGACAACCTAGGTAATACCATTCTGGACACAGGCACGGGCAAAGATTTCATGATGAAGATGCCAAAAGCAATTGCTGCTAAATCAAAAATTAACAAATGAGACCTAATTAAACCAAACAGTTTCTGCATGGCAAGATAAACTAGCAACAGAGTAAACAGGCAACCTATAGAATGGAAGAAAATTTTTGCAAACTATACATCTGACAAAGGTCTAATATCCAGCATCTGTAAGGAATGCAAACAACTTTATAAGAAGAACACAAGCAACCCCATTAAAAAGTGGGCAAAATACATGAACAGACAGTTTTCAAAAGAAGACGTACATGCAGCCAACAATCATATGAAAAAAAAGCTCAACATCACTGATCACTAGAGAAATGCAAATCCAAACCAACATGAAATACCATCTCACACCAGTGAGAATGACTATTATTAAAAAGTAAAAACAAACAAACAGCAAAAAACAGATGCTAGTGAAGTTTTGGAGAAAAAGAAACACTTTTACACTGTTGGTGGGAGTATAATTAGTTCCACCATTGTGGAAGATGGTGTGGTGATTCCAAACACCTAGAGACCATTTGACCCAGCAATTCCATTACTGGGTTATACTCAAAGGAATATAAATCATACTATTATAAAGACACACGCACACATATGTTCATTGTATCACTATTCACAATAGCAAAGCCATGGAATCAACCCAAATGCCCATCAATGATAGACTGGATTAAAAAAACGTGGTACATATACACCATTGAATATTATGCAGCCATAAAAAGGAATGAGATACTGTCCTTTGCGGGAACATGGATGGAACTGAAGGCCATTATCCTGAGCAAACTAATGCATGAACAGAAAACCAAATACTGCATGTTCTTACTTATAAGTGGGAGCTAAATGATGAGAACACATGGACACACAGAGGGGAACAACAGACATTGGGGCCTACTGGAGGGCAGAGACTGGGAAAAGGTAGAGGATCCAGAAAAATAACTAATGGGTAATAAGCTTAATACCTGGGTAATGAAATAATCTGTACAACAAACCCCCATGACACAAGCTTACCTATGTAACAAACCTACATGTGTACCTACCCCTGAACTTAAAAATTAAGAAAAAAAAAAGAGATCCACTGGCATAGGCTGATCGAGCAAACTGGTAAGTGGAGGTCAGTTAAGTGATAACCTCTGTACAGTCTTTCTCTCATTTAACAAACGAGCATTGCTGTTTATTTTAAATTAAGCAAGAAAAAGCATAAATTGTTGTCATATACATTTTTCGATGATACGTTGTGTTTGGCTTAGAGATTGAACTGCATTAATATAGAGAGAAAGTTTATATATTAATTACTGGAAGTTACCAGGAAGTGAATTACTGCTTTCATGACCTGGATGTTTAGAATGATTTCATTTTGTGCTTAAAAATAGCCAATCATTTGATTTTCATGACTCACTTATTGTTTATAAATGACAAGAGAAAAAGTTTCAGACCCTTATCTGCAAACACTTCTCTGCCAATAACACTTTGAAAATGTGGCTAGTCTTTATTCCTATCAATGAAAAGCCAACTCGGATATATATAAATAACACTCATTTTTTTTCTCTTTATCACATGGACTTCTAAAAATCAAGCATACTTGAAGTCTCAGTGTGCTGAACTAAAATTGTCATGAGATGAATTCAACTTCCTGAACAGGAGAAGAGTCTGGAGGTGAATTTGCAAAACTGGTTGCATCAAGCTTCAGTGTTCGTTTGCGTTCGTTGTCTTTGAGCTAAGAGCCCTGATCAGGAACAAAAACAATGGAAAGGGGTAATTGGGCAAAGTGAGAATAGCAGCTTCTGCTCCCTTCTGCTTTGATGGGGGAAATGTTCAAATTATTTTACTTTTCACCTATTCTCAAAACAGAAATGGAAACATACGTTTTTGACTATCATTAACTATGGGAACCCTTAGAAACACAATGGGAGAGACTAATCAATATTAAGAGAGACCGTAATAGGAGAGACAAGAACAGACATGAACAGACAGTTCATTAAGAATGATACTGTGGAAGCAGATTTATTTATATGGGGAGATGTTGTATTCTTTAGTGAAAAAAGCAAGATACCAAGCAGCTCATGTAGGATAAGTCTATTTTTGCAAGGAGAAAGTATTGAAGTAGGTATAATACAATGTGGCAAGATCAAGAGAAATGGCAGATGGAGGCAAGACTAACTTGCAGCTCCCACTTGGACAGACAGAGCAGTGTGTGGGGACTCACACTGTGAACTTTTGCTCCAAGAACTACCGTAGGAACATACCAGGAAAGCCAAGAGAATCCACAGATCCTCTGAAGGAAGCGGCCTGCCACTGCAGGCTCCGTAAGACAGCTGAAAAACTGTGAGTGTCCAAAGTGTGAAAGAGGAAATGTCTGCCCCCAAATGTACATCCTCACTGGGGAACCTGAAGGGCCATATCATGGGAGAAGGATTTGACCTTACCTGGAGCTGAGATGAATTTAGAGAGCCAAGTGAAATATAGGGGTAGAGGAAGCAGTGGGAAGAGCCTTGTGGGCACTCTTGGTCCCCAGGGAAGCCATTTCTGACTTTGTCTCACAGGGGTCCTTGGGAAGGGCTGCCAGTGGAACTGGGACCACAGGGAGAAGGAAACTTCCAGCTAAACTTTGTAACTATTTTGACCAAACACAAAGTTTCCTGGACAGAATCGGGGGGGAGGAGGAAATCTGGGAGTGCAGATAGGAGCACAGAAGCCATGGCAGGTGTGGAGGGTTGAAACCTGAAAGCCCTGCTTGCTTTCTCAGTGGGGAGGCTTGTAGCCTGGGGCAAGATCTCAGCCCTGCTCACTGGCTGCCTGGGAATAAACTTGGTGCTGTCGAGGGGACACAGTTGGAGTGAGAATGGCCTTGCTGGCTGCGTGGAAGCTGGGTGAGGCCTGTCACTACCAGCTTTTCCCCACTCCCCGGGAGACCTGCATGATGCAGTAGAGGCAGCCATAACCCCACTGGAAACATAACTCCATCAGCCTGAGAACCACAACCCAACCCCCACAGCAGCCCGAGAAGAGTCTGAGCTCAGACATGCCTAGCCCTGCCCAACATGATGGTCTTTCTCTACCCACCCTGGTAGCCAAAGACAAAGGTCATAATCTCTTGGGAGCTCTGTGGCCCCGCCCACCACCTGAGAAACCTCAATACTTATCCAGGCAACTTTAGGGCAAGCTTTATCCTCCCTACACTACTGCAGCTGATGCTCTCTTAAAAGTGCCACCTCTTGGCTGGAGGTCAACCAACACTAAGGCAACACACTAAACAAAACTACAACCAAGGACTCTCACAGAGTCCACTTCACTCCCCTGCTACCTCCACTGGAGCAGATGCTGATATTCATGGCTGAGAGACCTAAAGACAGACACAGTACTCTTTACGGATGTTCCCCAGTACCAGCCCGGAGCCTGGTAACTCTGCTGGGTAGCTAGACCCAGAAGAGAAACAACAATCAGTGCAGATTGGCTCTCAGGAAGCCCCATCCCTAGAGGAAGGAGGGAGAACACCACATCAAGGGAGCACCCTATGGGACAAAAGAATCTGAACAACAGCTCTTGAGTCCCAGATCTTCCCTCTGACATAGTCTACCTAAATGAGAAGGAACCAGAAAAACAATTCTGGTAATATGACAAAACAAGGTTCTTTAACACCCCCAAAGATCACACTAGCTCACCAGCAATGGATCCAAACCAAGAAGAAATCTCTGAATTGCCAGAAGAAGAATTCAGAAGGTCAATTATTAAGCTATTCAAGGAGGCACCACAGAAAGGTGAATACCGACTTAAAGAAAATTTAAAAAAAGTTAGAGAATATGGATGAAAACATTTCCAGAGAAATACATAGCATAAATAATAAGCAATCACAACTTCTGGAAATGAAGGACACACTTAAAGAAATGCAAAATACACTAGAAAGTCTCAACAACAGAATCAAACAAGCAGAAGACAGAATTTCAGAGCTTGAAGACAAGGTTTTCAAATTAACCCAATCCAACAAAGACAAAGAAAAGAGAACAAAAAAAGAAGAAAGCCTCCAAGAAGGTTGAGATTATGTTAAATGACCAAACCTAAGAATGATTGGTGTTCCTGAGGAAGAGAAATCTAAAAGTTTGGAAAACATGTTTGAAGGAATAATCAATGAAAACTTCCCTGGCCTTGCTAGAAATTTAGACATCCAAATACAAGAAGCTAAAAGGACACCTGGGAAATTCACTGCAAAAAGATCATTGCCTTGGTACATAGTCATCAGGTTATCTAAAGTCAGGACAAAGGAAAGAATCTTAAGAGCTGTGAGGCAAAAGCACCAGGTAACTTATAAAGGAAAACCTATCAGATTAACAGCAGATCTCTCAGCAGAAACCCTACAAGCCAGAACAGATGCGGGTCCAATATTTAGCCTCCTTAAACCAAATATTTATCAGCCAAGAATTTTTTATCCAGTGAAACTAAGCTTCATAAATGAAGGAAAGATACAGTCTTTTTCAGACAAACAAATGCTGAGAGAATTTGCCACTACCTAGCCAACACTACAAGATCTGCTAACAGGAGCTCTAAATCTTGAAACAAATCCTTGAAATACACCAAAATAGAATCTCCTTAAAGCACAAATCTCACAGGACCTATAAAACAATAACACAATGAAAAAAAAAACAAGGTATTCAGGCAACAACTAGTATGATGAATAGAATAATACCTCACATCTCAATACTAATGTTGAATGTAAATGGCCTAAATGCTCTACTTAAAAAATACAATGGCAGAATGGACAAGAATTTTCCAACCAAATATCTGTTGTCTTCAAGAGACTCACCTAACACATAAGGACTCACATAAGGTAAAGGGGTGGAAAAAGATGTTCCATGCAAATGGACACCAAAGAAGGAGCAGGGGTAACTATTTTTATTTCAGATGAAACAGAATTTAGGGCTGGGTGCAGTGGCTCATGCCTGTAATCCTAGAGCTTTGGGAGGCCAAGGCAGGCGGATCACGAGGTCAGGAGTTCGAGACCAGCCTGGCCAACATTGTGAAACCCCGTCTCTACTAAAAATACAAAAAATTAGCCAGACCTTGTGGCGGGCACCTGTAATCCCAGCTACCTGGGAGTCTGACGCAAGAGAATCACTTGAACTCAGGAGGCGGAGGTTGCAGTAAGCCAAGACCGCACCACTGCACTCCAGCCTGGGCAACAGAGCGAGACTCCATCTCAAACAAAACAAAACAAAACAAAACAAAACAAAACAAAAAAACAAACAAAAAAACCCAGACTTTAAAAAAGACAAAGAGGGACACTATATGATAATGCCCCTTATCATTATATGATAAAAGGACTAGTCCAACAGGAATGAAGAAGAATAAAACTGGATCCTCATATCTCACCTTATACAAAAATCAACTCAAGATGGATCAAAGACTTAAATCTAAGATCCGAAACCATAAAAATTCTAGAAGATAATATCAGAAAAACCCTCCTGGACATTGGCTTAGGCAAAGACTTCATGACCAAGAACCTAAAAGCAAATGCAACAAAAACAAAGATAAACAGATGGGACTTGATTAAACTAAAAAACTTCTGCACAGCAAAAGAAATAATCAGCAGAGTAAACAGACAACCCACAGAGTGGGAGAAAATCTTTGCAAACTATGTATCCAATGAAGGACTAATATCCAGAATCTACAAGTAACTGAAACAAATCAGCAGGAAAAAACCAAACAGTCCCATCAAAAAGTGGGCTAAGGAGATGAATAGACAGTTCTCAAAAGAAGATATACAAATGGTCAACCAATGAAAAAATGCTCCACATAACTAATTATCATGGAAATGTAAATCAAAACCACAACGTGATACCACCTTACTCCTCCAAGAATGGCCATAATCAAAAAATGAAAAAAATAGATGTTGGTGTGGATAAGGTGAAAAGGAACACTTTTAGACTGCTGGTGAGACTGTAAACTAGTACAACCACTATGGAAAACAGTGTGGAGATTTCTTAAATAACTAAAAGTAGATCTACCATTTGATCCAGCAATCCCACTCCTGAGTATCTACCCAGAGAAAAGAAGTCATTATACGTAAAAGATACTTGAATTAATAGCAATTCACAATTGCAAAAATATGGAATCAGCCCAAATGCCAATTAATCAATGAATGGATAAGGAAAAATGTGAGAGAGATATATATATACACAGCCATAAAAAGGAATGAAAGAATGTTCACAGCAACCTGGGTCAATTTGGAGACCATTATTCTAAGTGAAGTAACTCAGGAACAGATAACCAAACGTCATATGTTCTCACTCATAAGTCGGAGCTAAGCCATGAGGACACAAAAGTATAAGAATGACAGAATGGACTTTGGGGTCTCAAGGGAAAGGGTGGGAGATGGGTGAGGGATAAAAGAGTACATATTGGGTGCAGTGTACACTGGCTTGGGTGGTGAGTGCACAAAAACCTCAGAAATTGCCACTAAAGAAACCTATCCATGAAATCAAATACCACCTGTTCCCCAAAAACTATTGAAATACAAAAATGTTGCTGCAGTTATTTTAAGGGGAGGGGAAAGTGTTTGATTCTTGGTGTCGTTTGCTTCTGATGGTTTTTTTTTTGTTTTTGGATGGAGTCTCGCTCTGTCACCCAGGCTGGAGTGCCATGGTGCGACCTCGGCTCACTGCAAGCTCCGCCTCCCAGGTTCATGCCATTCTCCTGCCTCAGCCTCCCAAGCAGCTGGGACTACAGGCACCTGCCACCACGCCTGGCTAATTTTTTGTATTTTTAGTAGAGACGGGGTTTCACTGTGTTAGCCAAGATGGTCTCGATCTCCTGACCTTGTGATCCACCCTTCTCGGCCTCCCAAAGTGCTGGGATTACAGGTGTGAGCCACCGAGCCCTGCCACGGTTTCAAATATTTCCTATTACATATTATTCATGTAATTTTTAAAAACCAAAGAGGCAGCTATTATTTTTAAAAAGCAGATACAAGCGACACAAAGAGAATATAACTGTCAGGTCTCACAGTTTATTTTACAATAATGCCCTTTACTGAGCTGTCTGAGATACAGGCTCCACTCTGCCCTACATGAAGGTTTTGTGTATACAGATTATGTGGATGCAAAAGTGATGTATACACTGACACAACTGAGCATTACACATCTTTAGAATATAGTACTTACTGTATAAACACTTCTTCAAATACTAGCTATTTACTGATAATGAAATAACAAACACAGAAATAGGCACAGTCATAGATTTCTGGTAGTCACTATAGCAACACTGTGATAAATCTGATTTTATCCCTGTGATTACAAAATTACTTTTGCAAACCAAGTATCTCACAATGTGAGTTATTTCAAATATATGTGAAATATTTAAAAATACACCTCAAATATTATTTTAAATATATTACCTTAAATATGAGTTATCCATAAGTATTTTTTCCCACCTAAAATTAAAGAATTGCTAAGTATCAAAGTACATTCTGTTAGACACAGCAAGGTCCCCTTACACAAGGAAAACTATACAGGCATTTTTCAGTTGCTACCAATTCAGATGATTATAAAGATTTACCTAATGATGTGTTCCCTGCCTCATAACTACCTGAAGGTTGTGGTTTGATTTTAGTTGAAATACCCTGGCGGCTGTTCAAATATTTAGCTTTTAAGCATTAGAAAACCAACATTATTTTGATACAAAAAATTGACGTTATTCCAGAGGCTCTGTTATAGATATCTCAATCTTTCTTTTAGATTACTCAGCAGTACAAATCATCCTTTAAGAAGAAAGAAAAGAAAGATGATCAGGGAAAAAGCCACATATACATTTGAAGTTTTTAAAAAATATTGGAGTAACGGAATTGATAGCATTTTGAAGGCAGAGTAGTATTCAAATACAAACTCCCTCCCTGGATGATGGTAATGGCTCTGTGAGGGTGGGAAGTTGCTCAGAGTCTCTGATCTCTGTTTCCTCATCTCCAAACCCTGAGATGGTTTTTGTGAGTAGTAATGCACTTGGAACTTTAGAGACGTTTCTGGGATACAGGCATTCTGCAGTCTAATAATCACTCTTCCCATCCTGTGAAAATGATATCACTAAGTAAATATACAAAGTAATACAAAGTAATTTCTATTTTATAAATATATAACAAATGATAATCTGTATATTTTCCTAGTGATATAATTATATAAATGATATCATCATATAAATGATGATATATATCATTTATATATATAAGTCACTAAGAAAATATACAGATTATCAGTTAGGATGGGTTTGTCTTTTGCATATGTAACTCTACATATGTAGAGAGGTTTTCAAGTCAGGATATCAATGATAATGTTCACATTTATACCATATAGATTTTTTTTTTTTTTTTTTGGCAGAGTCTTACTCTATCACCCAGGCTGGAGTGCAGTGGTGCGATCTTGGCTCACTGAAACCTCTGCCTCCTGGGTTCATGCCATTCTCCTGCCTCAGCCTCCCGAGTAGCTGGGACTACAGGTGCCCGCCACCATGCCCGGCTAATTTTTTGTATCTTTAGTAGAGACAGGGTTTCACTGTGTTAGCCAGGATGGTCTCGATCTCCTGACATCATGGTCTGCCTGCCTTGGCCTCCCAAAGTGCTGGGATTACAGGTGTGAGCCACTGCGCCTGGCCTACCATATAGATTTTAATGAAATGAACATGTCATCTGAGCCGCTATAAATAACATAGGCAAGAGCATAAGATTTCAAGAGAAAATATTATTTCAGTATTTGTCAAATTTGGGAATTTAATTTGGAAGTACTATAAATTTGTGTTGAACATATTTTGTGGTCATTTAAATTTTATTATTTGCAGAGATGTGAATGATACCCAAATCTTTTTAAAATTGTCCTTGTACAATTATTTTAGCAACTCTAATATTTTATAAGATTGACACATGCCACCATATGAACCCTTCCATAGAAAAACCTCAGGATGGATGGAAAACATCATGTTGCTTACACAGAATTTTAGATAACTTACATGACATAAAAATAGTGGCATATTCTAGTTTATATGATACTTTTATTATTTATTTATGTTTTAAATCTGACATAGTTTTTTTTAAGTTTTAAATTTTACTTATTTTTTTCAGCTTTTATTTTAGATTTAGGGGGCACATGCACAGGTTTGTTACATGGGTATATTGCATGATGCTGAGGTTTGGGCTATGAGGGATTTCATCACCTAGATACTGAGAACAGTACCCAATAGTTAGTTTTTCAATCCTTGCTTCCTTCCCTTCTTCCCCCATCTAGTGGTCCTTAGTTTCTATTGCCATCTTTATGTACATGAGTACCCAATGTTTAGCTCCCCCTTATAAGTGAGAACATGTGGTATTTGGTGTTCTGTTCCTGTGTTAACTCATTTAGGATAATGGCCTCCAGTTCCCTCCATGTTGCTGCAAAGGATATGATTTCCTTCTTTTTTATGGCTACATAGTATTCCACAGTGTATACATACCATATTGTCTTTATGCAGTCCACCATTGATGGGCACCTAGGTTGACTCCATGTCTTCTCTATTGTGAAGAGTGCTGCAATGAACATACGAGTCCATGTGTCATTTTGGTAGAAAGATTTGTTTCTTTTGGACATACACTCAGTGATGAGATTGCTGGGTCAAATGGTAGTTCTGTTTTCAGTTCTTTGAGAAATCTCCAAACTGCTTTCCATAGTGTCTGAACTAATTTGCATTCCACCAAGTGTATAAACATTCTTCTGCACAAACCTTGCCAGCATCTGTTGTTTTTTGACTTTTTGATCGTAGCTATTCTGCCTGGTGTGAGATGGTATCTCACTGTGGTTAGGATTTGCATTTCTCTGATGATTAGTGATGTGGAGCATTTTTTTTTCGTGTTGACCACTTGTGTGTCCTCATTTGAGAAGTGTCTGTTCATGTGTTTTGCCCATTTTTAATGGAGTTGTTTGTTTTTTGCTTGTTCTATTGTTTAAATTCCTTATAGATTCTGGAGATTAGACTTTTGTCAGATGCATAAATATTTTCTCTCAATTTGTAAGTTGTCTGTTTACTTTGATTATAGTTATTTTGCAGTGTAGAAGTTCTTTAGTTTAATTAGCTCCCACTTGTCAATTTTTGCTTTTGTTGCAGTTGCTTTTGAGGGTTTTGTCTTAAATTGTTTCCCAAGGCTGATGTCCAGCATGGTGTTTCCTAGGTTTTCTTCTAGGATTCTTATAGCTTGAAGTCTTATCTTTAACTCTTTGATCCATCTTGAGTTAATTTTTGTCAATGGTGAAAGGTAGGAGTCCAGTTTCATTCTTCTGCATATGGATAGCGAGCTATCCCAGCACCATTTATTGAATAGGGAGTCCTTTCCCTCATTGGTTATTTTTGTCAACTTTGTCAAAGGTCAGATGGTTGTAAGTGTGCAGCTTTATTTCTGGGTTCTGTATTCTGTTCTATTGGTCTATGTCTCTGTTTTTCTACTAGTCCCATGCTGTTCTGGTTATTGTAGCCTCTAGTATAGTTTGAAGTCAGGTAGTGTGATGCCTTCTGCTTTGTTCTTCTTGCTTGGGATTGCTTTGGCTATTCAGGCTCTTTTTTGGTTCCATATGAATTTTAGAATAGTTTTTTTCTAGTTCTATGGAATTTAGGATACTTTTTCTAGTTGATAGTTGTGATAGGAATAGGGTTGAATCCGTAAATTGCTTTGGGCAGTATTGCTTTTTTAACAATATTGATTCTTCCAATCCATGAGCATGGAATGTTTTTCCTTTTGTTTGTGTCATCTATAATTTCTTTCAGCAGTGTTTTATAGTTCTCCTTGTAGAAATCTTTCACCTCTTTGGTTAGATGTATTCCTAGGTATTTTGTTTTTGTGAATGGTAATTGTAAATGGGATTGTGTTCTTGATGTGGCTCTCAGCATGAACGTTATTGGTGTATAGAAATGCCACTGAAATTTTTTTTTTTTTTTTTTGAGATGCAGTCTCGCTCTGTCACCCAGGCTGGAGTGCAGTGGCACGATCTCGGCTCACTGCAAGCTCTGCCTCCCGGGCTCATGCCATTCTCCTGCCTCAGCCTCTGGAGTAGCTGGGACTACAGGTGCCCACCACAATGCCCAGACAATTTTTTGTATTTTTAGTAGAGACGGGGTTTCACCGTGTTAGCCAGGACAGTCTCGATCTCCTGACCTCGTGATCCACCCACCTTGGCCTCCCAAAGTGCTGGGATTACAGGCATAAGCTACCACGCCCGGCCAAAATGCTACTAATTTTTATACATTGATTTTGCATCCTGAAACCTTACTGAAGTCATTTATTAGTTCCAGTAACTTCTTGGTGGAGTCTTTTTAGGCTTTTCTAGGTGTAGAATCTTAACATCTGTGAAGAGAGATGGTTTGACTTCTTTTCTTTTCTTTTTTTTTTTTCTATTTAGATGCCTTTTATTTCCTTCTCTAGCCTGCTTGCTCTGGCTAGCACTTCCAGTACTATATTGGATAGGAGTGGTGAGAGTGGGCATCCTTGCCTTGTTCCAATTCTCAGGGGGAAATGCTTCCAGTTTTTGCCCATTCAGCATGATGTTCACTGTGGGTTTGTCATAGATGGCTCTTATTAGTTTGAGGTATGTTCCTTTGATGCTTAGTTTCTTGAGGGTTTTTATCATGAAGAGATGTTAGATTTATGAAAAGCTTTCTCCATGCCTGTTGAGATGATCATATGGTTTTTGTTTTTAATCTGTTAATGTGGTGAATAACTGTTATTGATTTGCATATGTTGAAGCAATCTTGCATCCTAGGAATGAAGCCTACTTGATCTTGATGAGTTAACTTTTTGATATGCTGTTGGATTTGGTTTTCTAGTATTTTGTTGAGGATTTTCATGTCTATTTTCATCAGGAATATTGGCCTATAGTTTTCTTTTTTAATTGTTGACTTTGTAGAATGAGTTAGATTTTTGCTGGCTTTGTAGAATGAGTTAGGAAGCAGTCCCTCCTCCTCATTTTTTTTGGAATAGTTTCAGTGGAATTGGTACCAGCTCTTCTTTGTATATCTGGAGAATTCCACTGTGAATCCATCTAGTCTGGGGCTTTATTTGGTTGGTAGGTTTTTAAAATTATTATTATTGATTCAATTTTGGAACTAGATATTGGTCTGTTCAAGGTTTCAATTTCTTCCTGATTCAATTTTGGAAGATCGTGTGTTTCTAGGAATTTATCCATTTCCTCTAAATTTTCTAGTTTTTGGGCACAGCGTTGTTCATAATAGTCTCTGAGGATCTTTTGTATTTCTGTGGGATCAGTTGTAATGTCACCTTTGTTGTTTCTGAGTTTGCTTATTTGGATCTTTTCTTCTTTGTTAATGTAGCTATCCATATATTGATCTTGCTTATTCTTTCTGAAAATTACCTTTTGGTTTCATTGATTCTTTGTATGGATTTTTGGGTCTCAATTTCGTTCAGTTCCATTCTGATTTATTTCTTTTCTTCTGCTAGCTTTGGGGTTAGTTGTTTCTTGTTTCTCTAGTTCTACTAGGTGTGATGTGAGATCATTTTTGAGATATTTCTAACTTTTTGAGGTAGGCATTTAATGCTTTAAATTTACCTCTTAACACTGCTTTTGCTGCAATCCCACACATTTTGGTATGTTGTGTCTCTGTTTTCATTTATTTCAAATAATTTCTGCATTAATTTTGTGTTTACCCAAAAGCAATTCAGGAACAAGTTGTTTAATTTCCATGTAATTGTGTGATTTTGAGAGGTATTCTTGATATCTATTTCTATTTTTATGCCACTGTAGTCCAAGAGTATGGTTGGTATAATTTCAATTTTTTAAAAACGTATTGAGACTTGCTTTATGGTTGATAATGTGGTCAATCGTGGAGTCTGTTCTATGTGCAGATGAGAAGAATGTATATTCTGTGGTTAATGGGTGATGTATTCATTCTGTAGATATCTATTAGGTCCAATTGATTAAGTGTTGAGTGTAAGTCCAGAATTTCTTTGTTAGTGTTTTGCCTCAATAATGTGTCTAATGCTGTCAGTGGGGTGTTGAAATCCCCTGCTATTATTGTGTGGCTGTCTAACTCTTTTCATAGGTCTAGAAGTACTTGCTTTATAAATCTGGGTGCTCCAATATTGGGTGCATATGCATTTAGGATAGTTAAGTCTTCTTATTGAATTAAACCCTATGTCATTATGCAATGTCCTTCTATGTCCTTTTTTACTATTGTTGGTTTAAAGTCTATTTTATCTGATATAAGAATAGTGACCCCTGCTCTTTTTTTTATCTTCTGTTTTTGTGGTAGATCTTTCCCCAACTCTTTACTTTGAGCCTGTGGGTGTCATTACGTGTGAGATGGGTCTTTTGAGACAGCAGATAGATGGGTCTTGTGTCTTGTTATTTTATCCATTTGCTTCTCTGTGCCTTTTAAATGGAAGGTTTAAACCATTTACATTTAAGGTTAATATTGATATGTGAGGTTTTGATTCTATCATGAAGTTGTTAGCTGGTTGCTTTGCAGTTTCTATTGTGTAGTTATAAGGTCTGTGTCAACTTAAGTGCATTTTTTTGGTAGTAGGTATTGTTCTTTTATTTCCATGTTTAGAATTCCAGTACAAATCTCCTGTAAGGCTGGTCTAGTGGTAACAGATTCCCTTAGTGCTTGCTCATCTGGAAAAGATTTTATTTCTCCTATGCATATGAAGCTTAGTTTGGCAGGATATGGAATTCTTATTTGGATTTTCTTTTCTTTCAGAATTGTGAAAATAGGCCCCCAATTTCTCCTGGCTTGTAATATTTCTGCTGAGAAGTCTGCTATTAGCCTCATGGGGTTCCCTTTGTACATGATCTGACATTTTTCTCTAGCTGCCTTTAAGTTTTTTTTTGTTTGTTTGTTTTTTAAATATTGACTTGGACAATCTGGTGACCAAATGCCTTGGTGATCATTTTGTATAGTATCATGCAGGTGTTCTCTGGATTTCTTGTATCTGGATATTTACCTATCTAGCAAGATCAGAGAAAATTTCTTGAATTATTCCCTTACATATGTTTTCCAGGTTTTTTGCTGTTTCCCTTTTTCTCTCAGGAATACCAGTAACTCATAGGTTTTGCCATTTTACATAATCCCATATTTCTCAAATACTTTGTTCATTTTTAAAATTTATTTTTTCTTTATTTTAGTCTGACTGGGTTGATTTGAAAGACCAACCTTTAAAGTCTGAAATTCTTTCTTCTGCTTTGTTCAGTTTATTGATAAAGCTTTCAGTTGTATTTGAAATTCTTTGAGTTTTTCAATTTCAGAAGCTCTGATTGATTTCTTTTAAGATGTTCATCACTTCCTTTATTTTCTGGATTGCTTTAGAAGTTTCTTTGTACCACTTTTCAATCTTGTCCTGTATCTCATTGAGCTTCCTTGCAATCCATGCTTTGAATTCTTTATCTGTATTTCTGAGTTTCCGTTTTATTTAGAAACCATTGCTGGAGAGCTAGTGCAATCCTTTGGTTTGTCACTATATTCAGATTTTTCATGGCACAGAATCTTTGTGCTGGTTCCTTCTCATCTGGAGATACTGGCACTTCTAATTTGTGTTATTATTTTCCTGAAGATAGGGTTTTTTCTTTTTCTTTGTTTTCCTATAATATTGTGTTTTTTTCTTTCCATTTCCTTCCCCCCTTCTCCCTGTACAGTTCCTGTTACTGTAGAGGAACTGTACTGTACCCCAACAGGGTAGGGTCTTTTGGCTTTGCTTCTATATAGCCCTATGCATTTCTTTCAGCAGGTTTTATATTGGGCTGTGCAGTTTGACCTACAAGCCCTTAGATGGCACTTATAGGTAGGAGCCAGCCAATATGGCTGTGTATATACTTGATCTTTGTTTGTTGCAGAAGCTCTCTGTTGCCTTAGGCAATGGGGTGATTTGTGGAATTCACAGTGGTCTGAGCTCCCCTATGCAGCCCTGGAGGGGGCAGGGGCAGGGGCCATGATGGGTGGGGCCAGACCAGGCAGGTTTGCCTGCACATTCCCTAGTGGCAGACACAAGCACAAGCTCTGAGGGATAATCTAGTGGGTGGCCACCAAGCATCCAGAGTTGTGCCTAGGTGTGGAGCTGGGAAACCTCCTCAGTCCCAAGTTTTCTGCACAGGGATGGGAGTTAGCCCAAATTCCTAATGCAGGAGATTAGGTGCCCCAGATGCCTGAAGATCTGCCTGGGAGTAGAGCAGAGAGGGCCCCTCTGCACCAAGATCTCTGCACAGGAAGGGTGGGGTGATTCAGGCTGCTGTTCCAGGTGAGTGGGTGTTCCGAATGCCTGGAGAGCTGTCTGGGCATGGAGTGGACAGGGCACCCCTGAATCAAGATATCTGCATAGAAGGGGTGGGACAACTCAGTCTGCTGAACCAGGCAAGCAGTTACACAGTATCTTTAAACACATTATTTCATCTGATTCAACTCTGTGACAGTGGCTATCCCAAATTAACATGTAAGGTAATTGAGACACAGAGAGCCTGCATGCCTCAGGGTCACATTGTAAGAAGTAGACTGACTCTAAAGGTTTCGGCTTTCCAGTGAGTTTTGAAGAAGCCCCTCAACCCCCTTCTGCCACCACCATCATACCTCACTGGCTGTAGGTGTTTGAAGTCCTATAGGCTATACAAACACATACAACAGAGGTCCCCAACCTTTTTGGCACCAGGGACTGGTTTCGTGGAAGACAATTTTCCCATGAATGTCGGGGAGGGGGTGTGGATAGTTTCAAGATGATTCCAGTGCATTACATTTATTGTGCACTTTATTTCTCTTCTTATTACACTGTTATATATAATGAGATAATTATACAACTCACCATAATGTAGAATCAGTGGGAGCCCTGAGCTTGTTTTCCTGCAACTAGATGGTCCCATCTGAGGTGATGGGAGACAGTGACATCTGAAATGCGTTGCTTATGTCCAGTCTACTCCATAATCTCATTTTGTTTGCTGTCACTGCAGAAAACCCTGCTGCACAAAGATGGGATGCTAGAAATGGAAGCAGGCTTTTCAGTGCTTTTGTGGCGATGTCAGGATATTCCGCCTGGACTTTAATTCAGAACATATGGAGATTTGAAGTTGCCTCAAACATACTTTTAAGGCCACCAGATGCAGCTGTACGATTCAAGAACATCAACTCACTTGCCACTCTAAAGCCTGCCACCAGATACAGCTTCATTGTCACTTGCCACTCACTGATTTTTGATATGTGTTTGCAAGCAAATGAGGTGGGTGGATTGCTTGAGCTCAGAAGTTTGAGACCAGCCTGGGCAACATGACGAAACCCCGTCTCTATAAAAAATTAGCCAGGTGTGGTGATGCATGCCTGTAGTCCTAGCTATTTGAGGATCTGAGGTGGGAGGATCGCTTGAGCCCCAGGAGGTCAAGGCTGCAGTGAGCCAAGATCATGTCACTGTACTCCAGCCTGGGTGACAAAGTGAGACCCTGTCTCCAAAAAAAAAAAAAAGCATCTAGAATCATAAGACCAGATAATTGATTGGATGTGAGTGGTAAGGGAGGGAAGAACCAAGGTATAATTCAATAAGATGAGGACCAGCAGCTTCTCAGCTCAGCATGTCTGCAGGGAAGACAGACACTGGTAGCAGGGCTGACTCCCAGTCTACCCGCACCCTCACAACTTCCTTCCATCCCTAGCCTCAACTGAAGTTCTTCTGTTTTCACAAGAAGAAAACTCTATGTAATTCTGAGAATTAGATATTGCTAACTTAAACTATGTGGATAAAACTGTAATTCAGCCAACTTCAAGACATTGCTTTATTCCTTCACAACACAGAGAAAAAAATTATAAAACCATAGACATACAGCATAAAAAACATATAAGCCATTAAAATACTTAATACAAATCCATGCAATTTGTTTTAAAGGAGCAGCAGAGGATGGACCCCGCCACAAGGCAGGAGTAAACAGGAAGGATTTCATTTGGCACGAACTTATTAATGTAAACTGAAGGCACTTATAAATGAATTAAAGACATCTCCATAATGTTTGAAGCCACACAAAGGAGAGTGCCAAATATCTATGCTGGTCAAGTCTCCCCCTCGCTCTTTTTTTAAAAGCTAGCATAGCTACTTAATTTACTCAACTAACCTTCAGCCTGTGCAGCCCACACAATCATCCTTAAGCCCAAGGCAGAAATCCCAGTGGAATGAGGTCAGTCAGTCAAAGAATATGAGACATACTACAAATGTCACAAATGGGGAGAATGAATGCTTTCTTATGAAATTCACAAAAAATGGCTTAGTAGACTATGTCATCTGCTTGGTTGTAGGACATGTCTGACTCCACGACCCCAAAACTTTCATCACTTTCGTTTCTATCAATCAAGGTTGCATCACATTTACTCTTCTTCCTCTTCAATGGTTTTCCTCCCTGCAGGTCAGATGGTTCAAATCCAGCAGACCTCACCCTTTGAAGTCCTTTGGCAAATGCAACCTCGGCCCCATCTAATTCAGCTGAATCTGAGTGATTGGCTGAAGGCAAAAGTCGGTCACTCCGTAGCCTTTTTCTTATTTCTTCTTCTTTAGTCTGAAATGCAGTATTAAAGAATGAAAAAGAGCGTGAATAACTTTCTCCAAGTTGTGATTAATGTTGCTTGTATTGAACATTCATGGCTTCTCTATGTCATCATTCAGTCAAATAACAGACATTTGTTGAGAAACTCTTGTTGAAGAAGGCAGACACGGGGCCTGCCCTCATGGAGCTTGGAGTCTGGTCCTTGCTCTCTGATAGGCCAATTAGAGAGCTGGGAAATGAAGGCTGTCAGACCCAGCTGTGAAGGCTGGGTCTGGCCAAGGGCGCGTGGAGGGCTGTGGGGGCCCTTGGTGAAAATGCAGCAGGAGTAATGCAGCCTGATGCTCTGCAGCAGCTTCTCTCAGTTTAACGCCGCACCTCAACCCTGCCTTTACTCCTGCCCCCAGCCTCAACTGAAGTTTCTCTTTTTCCATATGAAGAACACTCCGTACTTCATTTAATTCCAAGAACTGGATGTTGCTTACTTAGGCTATATGGATGAAACCGTAGTTTTCACCCAACCTGCTTTATTCCTTTACAACAGAAAGGAAATTTTTAAGAAAAACCACGAAACATATAGCATATAATAAAAAGCATAAAGATCGTTAAAATCCTAGCTACAGGCCAGGCACAGAGGCTGATGTCTGTAATCCCAACACTTTGGGAGACCAAGGCAGGAGAATCATTTGAGGCCAGAAATTTAAGACCAGCCTGGGCTACATAATGAGACCCCATCTCTAAACAATTTTTTTTTTCTTTTTTTTGGAGACGGGGTCTCATTCTGTCACCCAGGCTGGGGTGCAGTGGCACAATCTCGGCTCACGGCAAGCTCTGCCTCCCGGGTTCACGCCATTCTCCTGCCTCAGCCTCCCGAGTAGCTGGGACTACAGGCGCCCGCCACCACGCCCGGCTAATTTTTTGTATTTTTAGTAGAGACGGGGTTTCACCGTGTTAGCCAGGATGGTCTCAATCTCCTGACCTCGTGATCCGCCTGCCTCGGCCTCCCAAAGTGCTGGGATTACAGGCGTGAGCCACCGCGCCTGGCCAACAATTTTTTTTTTTTTTTTAAATCAGCCTCATGTAGTGGTATGGGCCTGTAGTCCTAGCTACTCAGGAGGCGGAGACAGGGGGACCGCTTGAGCCCAAAAGTTCAAGATTGCAGTGAGCTCTGAGCATGCCACTGTACTCCAGCCTGGGCAACATAGTGAGACTTTGTCTTTTAAAAAAATTAGTAAAATAATAAAAAAAATACTGATTATAGATCCATGCAGTTTGTCTTAAAACTGCTGATAGGAAAGCTCTGGGGTGAGATCATTTTAACAGACAGCGAACTCCTCAAGCCTAGAGCATCTGAGAGCTCACTACCTTCCTGCGCTCCTCGGCAGCCTCCATCTTCTCCTCGATGTCCTTCATTGTGAAATCCTTCACTTGCTTTTTGATCTTGAGTTTTTTCAGTCTGGAAGGTGGCTTTCTCAATGGCTTCTCAGTCGTAGTCAACTGGAATAAAACATCTTTTTACATGAAGAAACAATCATATTCACTGGCAGAAGAGAAGGGCAAAAGAGTTAGAATAAACAGTTTAAAATGTAAATTCTAGTCTGGGTGCAGTGGCTCATGCCTGTAATCCCGGCACTTTGGGAGGCCAAGGTGGGAAGACTGCTTGAGCTCCGGAGTTTGAGGCCAGCCTGGGCAACATAGTGAAACCTTGTCTCTACAAAAATACAAAAAATTAGCCAGGCATGGTGGTGTGTGCCCGTAGTCCCAGCTACTTGGGAGGCTGAGGGTGGAGGATCGCTTGAGCCCAGGAGGTGGAGGTTGCAGTGAGCCAAGATCGTTCCACTGCACTCCAGCCTTGGCAACAGAGCGAGACCCTGTCTCTAAATAAATAAATAAATAAATGAATAAAGTAAATTCTAAAAATCTAACTTTCCAGGCGCAGATTAAAAAAACCAACGTGAAAGTTGATAACAACAGAATTATAACGATAAGATCTTTTAGATGCCTTAAAAGCACCAGGCTATTACAAAAAGGCCCTATGAATGCAGGTGTTCTCAGACTGCATAGAAGATGAACCCTTAGAAGGAAAAAATCTTGAGAATGAATATAAGATGAAAAGCAGTGGAGAATGGGGGTGAATTTGTAGTTTAAGGTGAAGAGTTCAACCTGATGATTTTATAATATTCCACAAGCTACAAGTTACTTTCATCTGGGATAGAGATTAGTTCTCATTGCTTCTGGTTTTGTGGTAGAAAGAGATAATTAACGATTACTGAACAACAACTCTGTTCTGGGCTTTGCTGGAGGAACTTGACAAACATTTTCATGACAGCGGGGGAAAAATCCCACTTCATATGATCAACTACCCTTTCAACAGTTCAAAGCAGTAATGATGACTTTCTAATTATAATTTCTAGTTCCAAAATAAGTAAAATTGTCATAAAGTATTTATGAAGAAAGTTTTAAGGTGTTTTGTTTTAAAAATTAGTTTTAAGATAATATAGATTGATTATAAAAAATATAACTGATACATAAATCATCTCCTTATCCTCTATTTAACCACATGGCCCCCAATCCCAGTCCTTAGCATGAACCTTTGTAAAGAGTTCAGTGTGTGTCTTCCCAGATATCTACTCTGCACATATATATGTTAAGGATATCTGTAATGTTAAACAAAACCTAAATGGAGTTATACTATATACACTGCTCTGCAATTAACTTTCTTCAATTAACTTAATATGGACATCTTTCTATATAAATATAGATTTATTACAACTGGGTGGGGGTAGTTAACTCCAAGGCTGCATTACAAAATGAACTGAATATTGTTCCAGATAATTTCTCTAAAGACTTTTTTTAAAGACAAAGGAGCTATTAATATTCATTGTAATTTCTAAAAGACTGTTTCTCCAGACTATAATGCTATAGGTACCAAGAAAATAAATCAAAGAGAGGCAGTTTAGCAGAGTAAAACAAGGCACCAGACGGAGACTTAGTCAGCCCTGGGTTTGAATCCTGGCTGGGCTATGGAATGACGGGTTTTTTTGTTTTTGTTTTTTGTTGAGACCTAGTCTTGCCCTGTCACCCAGGCTGGAGTGCATTGACACGATCTTGGCTCACTGCAACCTCCGCCTCCCGGGTTCAAGCGATTCACCTGCCTCAGCCTCCCAAGTAGCTGGGATTACAGGTGTGTGCCACCACGCCCAGCTAATTTTTGTATTTTTAGTAGAGACGGGGTTTCACCATGTTGGCCAGGCTGGTCTTGAACTCCTGACCTCAGGTGTTCCACCTGCCTCAGCCTCCCAAAGTGCTGGGATTACAGGCGTGAGCCTCCACGCCCAGCGTGTGCATTGACTCTCTATGATTCCTTAAACTCTGCAAGCTATGGTTTCCTCATTTGTAAAATAAGTTTAATAACATATATTTTGGGATTGGTTTTAAAAAAGAAAGAAAAGGATAAAGTAGCCACTCTGCAAATGATAGCTACTTTTCATTCAGTCAAAGCAGTGACTTCTTCCAAAGGCAGAACACAAACTCATAACCAGGACAAAGCGGAAAGGGGCGAAAGCACAGAGGGGAGGAAGGAGAGCCTACAGCCGGGGGGATCATCAGGCAGCAGGCATGAGCTTCAACTCTGGGGCGGCAGGAATGCCCAGCACATAGTGGAGACCCAGGCAGCTCTTCTCTTTGGACTCAATTTTCTCAACTGTGAAGCAGCAAGGGGCAAGAGGCCTGTGAAGCTTCCTTTCAGCTTTAAAATCTATGATTCTCAGGAAGTCTCCTAAAGAAAAAACATTTATTGACATTTTGGCTCCTTTAGAACCATTGGACGGTTTATGGGGTGCAAAGTTTTTCACTGCTTGAAAACCGTGGAATGTTTGTCAAAGGAAGTTCCCTCTCCCATCATCATTTTGTATTATTTTTATGACAATTGGCTCCTAAGTTTCCTGCTGGCAAAGACCACCCGCTGAAAAGAGGGAAATACTTGCTACGGTGGCTCAACTAGAGATACTGTGAAATTAGCAAGAAAATGATTTTTTAGGGATGTTCATGCGTAGAAGGCTAAAAGAAAATTAAGTAGTAATCCAAGATCCACTAAAGAAATGCCAGATTAGGCTATACATAGGAGCCTGAACCTTGACTAAAATTCTGAGATCAGTAGTTCTGAGAGAGCTTGGATTTTTCTGTTTTGGTCACCTCTTCCCGTGGCTTAATCTTAAAATGATCCTCCCCACAGAGGAAGTTAATCCTACCTGTGCAAGCCATGTTCTTTCTTGAGTTCCATATTTTAAGTAAAAAAATAAAAAACCTGTAGAAAGATATCTGTATTCTTTACAACTGAATTTTATGAAGTCAGAATTTATCAAATGTTGGAACTTAAAAACGTTAACAATGAGCTGGGCGCAGTGGCTCACGCTGTAATCCCAGCACTTTGGGAGGCCAAGGCAGGTGGATCACTTGAGTTCAGAAATTCAAGACCAGCCTGGGCAATGTAGTCAGACCCTGTCTCTTTAAAAAAAAAAAAAAAAAAAAAAAAAAAATATATATATATATATATATATATATATATATATATAAAACAATGATCACCTTATGCTTAGAGAGGTGTTACCAGTGGAAACAACAACACATTGACAACAACAAAATCAACCTACAGAAGTTACCAGTTCAATCATTTTCTTAAAGAATACTTTCAGAGGACTGCCAAGTTCAAAATGCTGCAATTAGATTAGAGTCCTGTTTCTAGCTACTAACTTGTATATTTTACTTCTTACATACACTGTGTATTCCTCAGAGCTTTCTTAATTAACTATTGACCTACGGATGAACCTGTCTTCATTTTGTTTCCTTAAAGGAGTCTTGTGGATAGAATAGGCCAATCCTGCAAAACAGCCCTTCATTCTTGTTTTATCACTGTTAGACCTCCTGGGGAAGGTCACTCCGATCATTAGCTGGCGTTATTGAGTCCTAACTCAGTCAACTTCCTCCTCCTTAAAAAATTCTCCAGGAGGTTCAACAAATAATGGTAGAGACTCTTATGCAATGTGAACAAACTCTCCAAGTACACTTCAGGTTCCCAAGTATAGAAGTCACACAGAGAAGGGAATAAACTTTGACCAGACACAGAGGTCAATAGTGAATTCACAGAGCCTCAGGTAGGGAGACCCAGGATGTGCTAAGTGGCGGGGAGAAATGAATTTGGGATAAAAGACGAACTCAATAATACCTATGTGGATAAATGAGAGCCAATCACATCTCTCTAAAGAGGTCTATACCTATCCATATACATATCGACATGTGTACGTAAAACCAATGTTTGTTTACAATATAGTCAGTTAAGTCTAATTAGAATGTTTAAAAATACACTGAAAGATTCCCTCAACAATCTGATACTTACCTTCTTAATCTTATATTTCTTACATATCACTTTAACTCTTAATTTTTTTTTTTTTTTTTTGTAGAAATGGCATCTTACCATGTTGCCCAGGCTGGTCTTGAACACCTGGCCTCAAGGGACGCTCCCAGCTGAGCCTCGTAAAGCCCTAGGATTACAAATGTGAGCCACCATGCCTAGCACATTTAACTTTTTTTTTTTTTAATTGGGTTTTTTGTTTGACAGGGTCTCGCTGTTTCACCCAGGCTGGAGTGCAGTGGTATAATCAAGGCTTATTGCAGCCTCGAACTTCCAGGCTCAAGTGATCCTCCAACCTCAGCCTCCTAAGTAGCTGTAACTACAGGTGCACACCACCATGCCCAGCTAATTTTTTTTTTTTTTGGTAGAGATGGGGTTTTACCATGTTGCCCAGGGTGATCTCAAACTCCTGGGCTCAAGCCATCTGCCTGTCTTGGTCTCCCAAAGTGCTGGGATTACAGGCATAAGCCATCTTGCCCAGCCTGATTTTAACTCTTAAGTAAACATAAAATATTCTCGCATAAACATCTCGAAAGCTGGTTATCCAGAGAGTACTATGGAATTACTGTGGTATTCACCAGCAAGATTATGATGAAAATTAAGAAAAAAGACAAAGGGGCCTCTGTGGTGGACACAGATCCTCCCCTTACCTCTAGGGAGATACTGGCTTATGGGGGATGCCCCCGATTCGGAAGAGGGACCTTCATGAGGGACCTTCATGAAGGTGAACCCTCAATTTTCAACATCCTTTATTCAATTTCACTCTAAATAACTCAATGAAAGATAATGACCTGGCTAAGAAGCAGCCAGATCTAAGTCTGAAATGCCCTTGTATGTAAATATACTATTGGCCCACATAAGAAGTCTTATTTTTAAACTATTCTCTTTGGCTGCTTGGCTAGTTCTGCTGGTAGAGCATGAGACTCAAAGTATTTTCACATTTATTCTATTTTTCCCATAATATTTTATTTAAAAGAATGTTATTCCCTAGAGCAGTGAAGAAATAATATTTACATGTCTGTTAAGATTTACCACATTGTAGTAACTGCTGACATAATAATATCTTTGTTTTGACTATCCCTTTTTTGTTTCCCTTGACTTCTTGTTTTGTTTTTAGCCAGTTTGATCAGTCTGGGTTTGAAAAAACTTATTAAACATTAGATATTCAAAGTATTAATATTATTAATGATTAATATTATCTAATAATATTTCCATTCTTAATATGGTTCCCCTCTCAGTCCTTCAATATTCATTCTCATCTTTTTACATTGGCCTCATAACTCTTCCCAAAATATGCAAGACACCTGGTGTCTGACACACATATGTTCTCAGCTACCTCTGAATTGAAAGAAGTTTTATCCGTGACACAGAAACTGCATCTCTTTTATTTCCTTAGGCTTCCTGAGTATAATCTTAGTTCCTATTCCTGAAATGGTATATTTTCAGGAATATTTCAGAATTCTCTTTCACAATGAATAGGGAATCAAGAATGATTTCAAAAGCTTTAACCCTTCCCAGCTTTGGTAATGGATTTGAGAGCGTTGTGTAGAGTTTTGGTGAAACTTCACGGCAGTAGTTCTCAACCGGGCTGCCCATGGGAATCACCTGGGAGCTTTCAGAAGTGTGAAAGCAGGGCCACACGCCCAGGCTGTGTGGTCGGAAGTGGTACCTAGGCACTGGGATGTTTGAAATATCCCCAGGTGACTCCAATGTACCGGCGGGTTAAGGACCACTGGATTAGGCGATGAAACAAGAGAGCTGTGTGTTGCTGCCTGGTCTGTTGCAAGCCTGGCTTATGTTGGGATATCTTGGCCTAATACCAAAGCCAAAAAAACAAAATTGTGCTATTCCTGAAGGCTGTCACATTTAAATCCTTTTGAGAACGTTCCCAACAACCATTCTATATGCCTACATAGTATGAAAAATAGTCTTCATCTTTGGTTCACTTAATGATGTTATTAAAAGTCCAGCCCACAGTTATTATTTTTTTAAAGGTGCATCTCTTTCACAAGGTAGTTTATATTAATTAACCTTGCAGGCTCCATTGCAAAGTCTAAGTCAGAACTCATTCATCTCTGGCAATTGAATCACGGAGAATGTTTTAATGTGATTCCTACTGGTGTATGTATGTAGACATCGAAGTGTCTATAGCATTTCCCTTAAGAAGACATTGCTTAGCTACTGAATGTTTCCACAATCTATCTGCCTCCTCTCAGACTTGCTTTCCTTTTTCTTTTGACATGCCTTCTTTTTTCCTGACCCCTACAGACTCACCTACAGCTAGAAAAAAATCTTTCCTCTCCCCTTTGATATTAAAAACCCATCCCTTCTTCTAGCACTTTCAAATAAGATAAGGCACTCCAAAATGCCTTGTATCATGCTAGCGTTGTGCAAATGTAAATTGTCATTATGTTGGCATTATCTTTTCCATTATATAATCCATTTTTACCTTCCTTTCCATCCTCCCCCCGCCCCCCGACATCCTCTTATTATTGGCAGCCTGATAATGTTATTCACAAGGTTTGGCAATCTCCTTTCCTTTCCCCCAAATACTTTCTGCAGGATTTATTTTCCTTTTTCAAAAGAAAATGCCACTTTGGCTTTTATTCATGAGTTCTCAACATTCCCCATACACAAAGAAGGAAATTAACTTTATTCAAACATTAAGTGACTCAGTCTAGGTGGCAAATTTGATTTAAATAATGAGTTTTTAATTCCGAATGGACTGTTTTCCCTACAACACAGGGATAGACAACCATTAAGTAGCCTTTGGGGTAATTTCTGGTCTCTATTTCCACCGTTTCCTTTTCTTTCTTTTCTTTTTCATTCATTTATTCTCTGGCTTCTTTTCATTGTTATTTCTTTTTTTTTCGCTTTCTCTCTTCTGCCTGTACTTCAAGGACTACTGGTAGTGCTTGGGAGCATTGGCTTAAAAAAAAACCCAAACAAACAAGAAAACAAAACAAAATAACAGCAACACCTAAGTCTGCTATCTTCTTCACAGGTTTATGCAGAATTTATTTAAAAATTTAGAACTCGGTCAGATGCAGTGGCTCACACCTGTAATCCCAAAACTTTGGGAGGCTGAGGCAGGTGGATTACGAGGTCAGGAGTTCAACACCATCCTGGTCAAGATGGTGAAATCCTGTCTCTACTAAAAATACAAAAATTAGCTGGACTTGATGGTGGGCACCTGTAACCCCAGCTGCCTAGGAGGCTGAGGCAGGAGAATCGCTTGAACCCAGGAGGCAGAGGTTGCAGTGAGCCAGGATCGTGCCACTGCACTCTAGCCTGGGTGACAAAGCAAGACTCCATCTCAAAAAAAAAAAAAAAAATTTAGAACTCTAGACTTTAGCCAAGCTAGTTAAAACCAGAGTAAAAATATTATTCACGCTGAAGAAAAACTATGACAGATTAATCAGGATAAATTAACAAAGAAAAATAATAGTACAGCAATTTCTGAAATTCTATTTAATTCCTCATGTTTGATTTTGGGGTGTGCATATGGATAAATGTATAGCCATATTTGTTTTAGCTTTGGCATTTAGTCCTATTTATTTTCTTTTTTAAAGTTTTACTTTATTTTTAATGGACACATAATTGTATATATTTATAGGGCACAGTATGATGTTTTGATACATGCGTAATGATCAAGTCAGGGTAATTAGCATATCCATCACCTCAAACACTTGTCAGGCCTATTTTCTTACTGAATAAATCAGATTCAGTTTTACATTTCTAATGCCCTGTACAATGCCTATTACATAGGTAGTGCTCAAGAAAAATTGTCAAAAGAATGAAAGTATGTTATTCAGTGGGGCCTATTGTTTCTCAAATTTAGTGAAACCCAATACGTGTTTTACTGGATCAATTAATCATTAATAATTGGAGCAATTTCTGAGTCCACAAAGAAGGGTGGTGTATTAGTCTGTTCTCACATTTCTATAAGGAAATACCTGAGACTGGGTAATTTATAAAGAAAAGAGGTTTAATTGATTCAGAGTTCTACATGGCTGGGAAGGCCTCAGGAAACTTACAATCATGGTGGAAGGCACCTCTTCACAAGGTGGTAGGAGAGAGAATGAGTGCAAGCAGGGAAAATGCCAGACACTTATAAAACCATCAGATTTTGTGAGACTCACTCACTATCATGTGAACAGCATAGGGGAAACCACCTCCATGATTCAATTACCTCCACCTGGTCCCGCCCTTGACACCTGAGGATTACAATTCAAGGTGAGATTTGGGTGGGAGCACAGAACCAAACCATATGAGATGGTGTGCAGAGATGTGGGGGGAATTTAAGGGAGAAAAATCTGACTTAAATAAATGCTGTTATCTGTATTGTAACTTGCATATGCTGGAAATAATGACTCATGATCAATCATATTCTATTGCTAATTTTAACTATAAGCTAATGTTAATTACAAAATTACTTGCCGTGACATCATATGATTCTCCATTTCTAAATACTTTGCTGTGGCTTTGTATAATTCCTTGAACAATTAGTTCCTCCAGGATATCTGATGACTTCTGTCGCTCTCGACTCTCTAGGGATTGGGGTTTATTGATTAATCCATTGGTCACTAGGTCTTCCAAAAAAGAAGAAAAGAAAAAAGAAAGCAAAATTTAAGAATGAAGATTTTTTCAATCAAATGCTAAACGGATGCCTTCTAAACCATGCTACTTAATTAGATCTTAGTTTCAACACTTAATATATTTCTATTATAAGTCTTTGTGATCCTTTGAAGTTCAAATTATTCATTTTCTTACAGAGGATACACATCAACATAATATACTGTTTACTTAGCAGATCACATATTAAGATAACAAAAAGCCTTTCTGTGTGCTGCTGTGGACTGCCTTTTTATTGTAACAACACTTATACACTTGGGTACGACAACGTTGGTTTGCTCGACCAATTATGAAGCTAAACCACAGCTAAGAATCAGATACTCTTGGTGATTCTTTGAGTTGTGGTTTGGTTTCCATGCTTTGTATACAAAGGATAAACAGCGTGATGTTGCCAAGAGACTTCTAGTTCTGCAACCCTAAGTTTATAATTACGCCATCTGCTAAGTCTACATAAGTAAAAGTACGCCTTTTTGAAAAGAGTCTTTGAACCAAATCAGAATTGCAGTTAGAGTGATATCAGCTAAATTTTTATTCATGATTCTAAAAATGAGCACTGAAACAGTTTATGGGGGAGTCTTTATAAGCTGCACTAATGAGAGAGGCTCCCCCATTACAAATCATCCAATTATATAAATACACAAATAAGCAGCCGAGTTTATGCCATCACATTATAAAATAAACGGCGCTGGCCTGTTGGGCCAAAGACAGTTTTGCTTTTCCTGTCAGTAACAGCGCAATGGGAAGTCCTGAGAAATGAGCTATCTTCTATGCTGACATCATCAGGAAGTCCTGATAGTAACCAAGTCCATTCCATTTAATGGATGGCATCTTCCCATAAAAATTTCTTTTCTTTTTTTTTTTTTGAGATGAGGTTTCACTCTTGTCACTCGGGCTGGAGTGCAATGGCGAGATCTCATCTCACTGCAACCTCCTCCTCCCAGGTTCAAGTGATTCTCCTGCCTCAGCCACCCAAGTAGCTGGGATTACAGGTGTGTGCCACCATGCCTAACTTTTATATTTTTAGTAGAGATGGGATTTCACCATGTTGGACAGGCTGGTCTCGAACTCCTGACCTCAGGTGATCTGCCTGTCTCGGCCTCCCGAAGTGCTGGGATTACAGGCATGAGCCACCTTGCCTGGTGAAAATTTCCAATCTCAATGGTTAGCAGTGAGACCTTTCATGAATTTGTGCTGGGAAGATAGAAAACATACACACAGACGCACACACACACACACTAATCAGATGCCTCTCACTTCAGCATATTAACCTCTCCAGTATAGGAGATTTATAGGATTGGCCACTGCAAGTAACTCCAACAGTTTTCCTCCTATCTTAGTATCTGTCCAGTGCTGTTTTTTCTACTCTTGCAAGTGTTTGTAATAGAGCCACTTTTCATTTTAAAGCGCTCTGTACAGATTTTGGCATGGGGTAGTAAAACATGTCATACGGGGAGGTCAACTAGAAACTTGAAACAATGGAGAAGATTTCAATGAAAAGGTCAGAGGTGAATCCCCTTCAAGGAATTGGAGTGATTTTTTGGTTAGAAGGTGGCCTTGTCTGGAAGGGTCAAAATAATAATAATGATCATTTACTAAGCACTTAGGCACCTGCACTATACTGAGTACTTGATACGCTGTATGACGTCAAATGCAAACATCAACTCTGAGAGTGCTGTTATTATCCCTATTTTAGAAATAAACACTGATGTGAGAGAAGCTAATTAACTTACTCAAGGTGACACAGGTAGCATGTGTGTTATCCAGGGCTACATCCAAGTCTGTTTGGCTCCAACACTCATACTCTCAACTGTCCCACTGTTCTCCTCCCAAATAGGTCATGTAAGCAGTTCCACTGTCAGTGGTTCATTTCTCTCCCAGGATGTTTCTAAAAGGAATGTCATGTTTGACATCTGTCGCTAACATAATAAAATTATTGTAACCATTCTGATCCATTCTTTTTGGAGTTCTCTAAAGTGTTTGGCTTGATATTTACAGCAGCTAACTTATACAGAGATTCCTGGAATATGTCAGTCATTTCAACTAATTTTCATGTTTTCTTGGGACATTGGAGAATATTGGGGATTGTTTAAAAACCATGTTGTGCTTCTTTTTGATTATAAAAGTGATAGTTACTGTAGTAAATTTAGAAAATACAGAAACTAGTAAAAGATTAAAAAAACGCCCATGCTTTCACCACCCAGAGATTACCATTGTTAATATACAAAATTTTATTTTTATAAGTTTGACATCATACTGAACATACAGTTTCATTTCCTATCTAGCTAACATTTATGTTAGCATTTTCTGATGTCATTGGAAACTCTTCATAAGCATAAGTGTAAAAAGTGAAATTATACAAGAAAACACGGGTGAATTTATCTTTAACCTTGGTGTAGGGAAAGACTTTCTAACTGTGACTCAAAATCCAAACTGAATTTTAAACATTTATAAATGTTACTAGATTAAAAATAAACTTTTGCATAGCAAAAACCCCATAAACATAATGAGTTGAATATAGATATAATGTACCTCCTAATTTGATGTATTAAGAAAGACACAATATCATTTTTGGTATTCTTGCTAAAATTGTGTAACCCTGGCTCATGCCTATAATCCCAGCACTTTGGGAGGCCAAGGCAGGTGGATCACCTGAGGTCAGGAGTTCAAGACCAGCCTGGCCAACATGGTGAAACTCCGTCTCTACTAAAAAAAAAAAAAAGCCAAGTGTGGTGGCAGGCACCTGTAATCCCAGCTAGTCGAGAGGCTGAGGCAGACAGAATTGCTTGCTTGAATCTGGGAGGCGGAGGTTGCAGTGAGCTGAGACTGCACCACTGCAATCCAGCTTGGGTGACAGAACAAGACTCTGTCTCCAAAAAAAAAAAAAAAAAAAAAAAAAGCGTAACCCAAATCCAATCAGGAGGAAAGCTCAAACAAACCCAAATTGATAAACATTCTGCAAAATAAATGTTTTCTGCTTTCCAAATATAGCAAGGTCATAAAAGACTAAGAAAAGCTGAGGAGTTGTTCAGATTAAAGAAGACTAAAGACCATAGATGACTAAATTAAACATGTGATCCTGGATTAGACAGATCCTGAATCAGAAATTCATTTATAAAGAGCAGTTGTGAGACAATTGACAAAATTTGAATATGATCTATAGATGAGATAATAGTACTACATCAGAGGTAATTTCCTGGCCGGGCATGGTGGCTCACACCTGTAATCCCAGCACTTTGAGAGGCCAAGGCGGGAGGAGCACCTGAAGTCAGGAGTTCGAGGCCAGACTGACCAATATGATGAAACCCCATCTCTGCTAAAAATACAAAAATTAGCCAGGCATGGTGGTGGGCGCCTGTAATCCCAGCTACTCAGGAGGCGGAGGCAGGAGAATTGCTTGAACCCAGGAGGCGGAGGTTGCAGTGAGTCGAGATGGCATCATTGCACTCCAGCCTGGGCAACAAGAGAAAAACTCCGTCTCAAAAAAAACAAACAAAAAAAAGGTAATTTCCCAATTTTGATCCTTGTATAGTGATTATGCAAAGAGTATCCTTGTTTTTAGGAAATACACACTGGAGTATGTGAAAGCGAAGTGGCATTATGTCTGTAACTTATTAACAGAAAAAAATCTGCTTGCATAAGGGGGGATATGATAATGCAATGTGGCAGAAGGTTAACATTTGGGGAATCTGAGTGAAATAATATAGGTGTTCTTTGTTTTTTGCACCTTTTCTTGACTCTGAAATTATACAAAATAAAAAGTTTTTTAAACAAGGAAACACTTGGGGAATGTTAGTGTGAAACTTGATAGTCTTAAGAAATATACTCTGCAGGTGCAGTGACTCATGCCTGTAATCTCAACACTTTGGGAGGCTGAGGCAGGTGGATCACTTGAGGTCAGGAGTTCGAGACCGGCCTGGCCAACATGGTGAAACCCCGTCTCTATTAAAAATACAAAAATTAGCTGGACATGGTGGCGCATGCCTGTAATCCCAGCTACTCAGAGGGCTGAGGCAGGAGTACTGCTTGAACCTGGGAGGCGGAGGTTGCAGTGAGCGGAGATTGCACCATTGCACTCCAGCCTGGGTGACAGAGCAAAACTCTGTCTCAAAAAAAAAAGAGGTATACTCTGCAGATTTGAAGAGCAGAGACACAAAAAGGAGGATGCCAAGGGCTGAGACATAGAGAGAAAACTGGGCAGAGGACAAATAGAAAGTTCAGGGTACTAGGTCCTACTCACTCTGTGGTAAGATGCTTCCTGAGGACTCCTTGACGCTGCATTTTAGGAACATCTGCTTTGGTGGCTGACTTCCTCCCTAGCTGTTCTCTCTCAACACCCTTCTGCTTACCTGTCACCCTCTTCATACCACCTTTAACATTGTACACACAGCTGGCAGCACTGACTGTTCTGGGTCACCAGGTCCCTGTCTGCCTGACGCTCTGCAGTCTGTGACCAACACTGATATTTAGCATTCATGTTGCTGTCTAGAGGGAAGTTGCATCAACAAAATTATTGGAAAGAAAAAAAATGTATTTGTCAACCTAACACATAGAAGGGAGGGAGAGTCCATTCCTGTGCTGCATTCCTCAACCTCCTAGTCATTCTCTGAGGTCACGCTGACTACAGCAAGGGGAGGGCGAATAGAAAATCTGTGATAACCTGAGTGTGCCAGGAAAGTTCAAGAAATAGAATCACATGTATGAACCCATCTGTTTTCCAATCCCAACTTGTACCTAGAGAAGAAATAACAGTGATGGGGAGCAAAAGTCTTCCCCCCTGAAATAAAAAGAGTACTTTTCCTTGAGGGCTGTGAAGTTCAATATGTTTCAAAGGCTGACCGAATATAAATAAGATGACTTAAATGGACACCAGGCGGTAACTCAAGTCAAGGGAAAACACACCATAGGAAAACCCACAAATAGTTTCTAAATAGCACAAGTAAATCATAACTACCTCTTTCACATTTCTGAAAGATTCTTTTGTTGTATATTTGCTGATACTTTGGATGGGAAAAGACAGGGAAAACAGTTTATTGTAGGTTTTATTTATTTTTGTAAATGTAGAACTTATCCTTGGAAAGATGTTATCATCGTGGGAGTTTAAATTCCTTTGAACTGTGCAAGTCCCATTCCTAAAGTCTGGCCTTAATTCCCAATAATGCCTCTTAGTTCTTTTTTTTTTTTTTTTTTTTTTAAAGATGGTCCTAATTACTTCATTGACAAGAAGATTAATGCTTAGCATTATTTACTCACATAATGAAGGCCTAAGGCTAAATTCTAATGTTTCAGAGACAAAAACACTGCCATTTAATGTACTTCATGGCCCAGAAAGCAATGATAAAAGGACCACCAAAGAAACCTTGTAAACGTATTTAGAGAAACAGTATTTTGTGAAGATCTACGTGAATGGGGGCAGAGGGAGGTTACCTGAATTTACTCGTCTGTTTCTTTCACTAGGAGATGGAGAATTTTCTGAAATGGTTCCAGGTAAGCTTCCCATCTGGACTTGTTCCAGGCCTTCTGCAATGTCCACAGTATTCTTGGTCAGAGCAGCTTCCATCCGGGGGCTGCAATTTTCCCCAGTATGAGGCACACTGACATCAGCCTGTGAAAAGGGAACAGTTTTGTTAGAGTCAAGATTTCTTGGTAAATAAAAACAATGTTGCAGGGTCTGCTTTGTGAATATTTAGCCAGCTAGTATCTGTGGTGGGCTGTATAGTAACCAGAAAGCCATAGATCGGGGTCCCCAACCCCCTGGGCCACATACCAGTACTGGTCCGTGGCCTGTTAGGAACTGGGCTGCAGAGCGGGAGGTGAGGAGTGGGCTAGCCAGCGAAGCTTCATCTTTATTTACAGCTGCTCCTCATCACTCACATTACCCCCAGAGCTCCGCCTCCTGTCAGATCAGCAGTGACATTAGATTCTCATAGGAGCACAAAACCTATTGTGCACTGCACATGCGAGGGATCTAGGTTGCGTACTCCTTGTAAGAATCTAATGTGGCCGGGCGCAGTGGCTCACGCCTGTAATCCCAGCACTTTGGGAGGCTGAGGCGGGTGGATCACCTGAGGTCAGGAGTTCAAGACCAGCCTGCCCAACATGGTGAAACCCCATCTCTACTAAAAATACAAAAAATTAGCCAGGCATGGTGGCGGGTGCCTGTAATCTGAGCTACTCGGGAGGCTGAGGCAGGAGAATCGCTTGAACCCAGGGGGCAGAGGTTGCAGTGAGCCGAGATCATGCCACTGCACTTCAGCTTGTGCCACAAGGGTGAAACTCTGTCTCAAAAAAAAAAAAAAAAGAGAATCTAATGCCTGATAATCTGTCACTGTTTTCCATCACCCCTAGATAGGATTGTCTAGTTGCAGGAAGACAAGCTCAAGGCTCCCACTGATTCTACATTATGATGAGTTGTATAATTATTTCATTATATATTACAATGTAATAATAATAGAAATAAAGTACACAATAGATGTAATGCTGTAGAGTCATCCTGAAACCATCCCCACAACCCTAGTCCATGGAAAAACTGTCTTCCACAAAACTGGTCCCTGGTGCCAAAAAGGTTGGTGACTGCTGTTTGAAGCCACTAAATTTGTGTGAATTGGCTATAGCAGCAGTAGAAAACTAATATAGTATCTAATAGGCATCTACCAGGTAAAAGCTACTACGCTGAGCATTCTGGAGGATACCAAGATAGACAAGCTCAGCACTGAGTGTGAGAGTAGAGGTACTATGGTATTAAAACAATTTATAATAACGAAGCTATATTGTTTTTGCTGATTAAAAAAGTAATACAGGCTGGATGTGGTGGCTCATGCCTGTAACCCCAGAACTTTGGGAGGCTGGGGAGGGAGGATCTCTGGAGCCCAGGAGTTCGAGACCAGCCTGGGCAAGGTGGCGAAACCCCATCTCAAAAAAAAAAAAAAAAAGTGATGCAGACTTATTGTAAAAAATAATTACATAATATAAAAGAGAATTGCAATGATCAGTTTTATGTGTCAGCTGGGCTAGGCTATAGTAGCCAGTTATTCTGTCAAACACAAATCTTGGTGTTACTGTAAATGTAGTTTGTAGATGTGGTTAATATAAATAATGAATTGACTTTAAGTAAAGGAGATTACCCTTGATAATCTGGGTAGGTCTCATCCAGTCAATTGAAAGGCTTCAAGAGTAGAACTGAGGTCTTCCTGAGGAAGAGGAGATTTGCCTGTGAACGGCAGCTTCAACTCCAGTCTGTTCTTTTCGACTGCCTGCCCTATCCTATGGATTTTGATTTTCCTAGCCAGCCTTCATGACTGTATCAGCCAATTCCTTACAATTTACCTATCTACCTATCTATCCATCTGTCTATCCTACTGGTTCTTTCCCTCTGGTAGAACGTTGATTGATAGAGAAACACAGTAGAAAATAAGAAATTATATCTTCTAGACAGAAGCACTACTAACATTTTAGTATATCATTGCCCAGATGTGTTTGCTCACATAACCTTTAAAAATAAATTGGAACTGGCCAATAAGCACACAAGAAGATGTTCAATATTATTAATCAGTAGGGGAATGCAAATCAAAACTACAGTGAGATACCACTTCATATACCCTAGGATAACTATAATGAAAACGACACACAATAACAAGTGTTGGTGAGGATGTGGAGAAATTGGAACCCTCATATATTGCTGGGCAAATGTGAAATGGTGCAGCTCTTTAGAAAACACTTTGAAAGCTCTTCAAAAATTAAACATAGAGTTAACCATGTGACCCAGAAATTTCTTTTTCTCTTTTTTTTTTGAGACGGAGTCTCCCTCTGTCGCCCAGGCTGGAGTACAGTGGCGCAATCTCGGCTCACTGCAAGCTCTGCCTCCCGGGTTCACGCCATTCTCCTGCCTCAGCCTCCTGAGTAGCTGGGACTACAGGCACCTGCCACCACGTCTGGCTAATTTTTTGTATTTTTAGTAGAGACGGAGTTTCACCGTGTTAGCCAGGATGGTCTCAATCTGCTGACCTTGTGATCCACCCGCCTCGGCCTCTCAAAGTGCTGGGATTACAGGCGTGAGCCATCATGCCTGGCCCAGAAATTTCACCCCTAAGTATGTACCCAAGCAAAATAAAAACATCTGTTCTTGCAAAAAAACTGCACACAAATATTCACAATTATTATTTATAATACCCCAAAAGTGGAAATAATCCAAGTGTCCATCAGATGATGAATGTATAAATAAAATGTGGTACAGTCATCCAAAGGAATATTATTTGGCAAGAAAAAGAAATTAAACACTGACATACGTTGCAACATAGATGATACTTGGAAATATTATGCTAAGTGAAAAAAGCCAATCACAAAGGCCATTCATATTGAGAATAGGCAAATTTATAGAAACAGAAGATAGATTTATTGATTGCTTAGGGTGGGGGAACGAGGATTGACTATCAATGGGTAGCCATTTCTTTGAAGAGGGCAAAATTGTTCTAAAATTACATTGTGGTAATGGCTGTCAATTGTACATTTTAAATGGATGCTATGATTTGAATGTGTCCCTTTCAAATTCAGGTGTTACCAATGTGATAATATTAACAGGTAGGACCTTTGAGAGTTGATTAGGCCATGCGGGATACTCCCTCATTAATGGGATTAAGGTGTTTATAAACAGAAGCTTCACACAGCTTCAGCTAACTTGCTCTGCTTTTCTGCCATGTGAGGACACAGAAGGGCAGCCCTCACCAGATAATCAAACCTTCCATTGCCTTGATCTTGGACTTCCTATGAGAAAGAAATTTCTGTATTTTAAAATTTACCCCTTCCATGGTATTCTGTTGTAGCAGCACAAACAGACTAAGACAGTAGGTGAATCATGTGAATTATATTTTAATAAAGCTGTTTTAAAAATAATAAAAAGAATTACATACTAAATTATATTATATTTCTGTAACCTGCTTAACAATATATAAGAAACACTTACCTATGTCAACATACATAGGTCTACCTCGCTCTATTTAGTGATAAGGAGTAGCTACTTATCTGATGATGGCATTGGAGCTCATTATGTAACTATGCCACAATGTATTTAACCAAGTCCTACTGAAGGACATGTAGGTGTTTCTAACTTTTCAATATTATAAACTGTGTTGGAATAATATCTGTGAATATACATCACTGTGAACCCGTGAACCCATCCAATCATTCCATGAGAATACATTCCTGGATGTGGATATGCTGGGTCTAAGGATATGCACATTTTATATTAATATGTGTTTCCAGAAGGCCCTCGATAAATACTGCACTAATTTATAATCCCACCTTCTCCTTTCAAGGGAGTCTGTTTCTTCAAACCACAGTTCCATTGCTTGTAAATAGGTCAAAACAAAGCATAAAAATGGCCTCTAGGTGATTTAGTAAACCACTGACGACAAAATGCTGGTCCGTGTTAAATTTTTCACAGTTCCATAGCAAAACAAGAACAATGTAATGAGTTTTTCACAAAGCTGAATTAATTCAATTTAAAGAACTGTCATTTATTTTTAGAGTAAGTAAATTTTAAATGCTAATGTGTTCAGAAAAACTTTTATCGTATCTCCCCTGACTACCATGTCTTCTCTCTCCAGGTGCTGGCCCTCTTTCATTGCAAGTTTCCCACTTCTCATTTCAATGGATGCTATCAAGGTCTTCTCCATCTAAGACACACATACCACAGGAAGTCTCCTCAGTGTCTCCAGAAGAGATAAGAACACAAAGAACACGTGCATCTTCCACTCGGTAATGTCTTCCCAGGATTCTTTTAATGTCTATTTTTTATTTTTTTGAGACAGAGTCTTGCTCTGTCACCCAGGCTTGAGTGCAGTGGTGCGATCTCGGCTCACTGCAACCTCTGCCTCTCGGGTTCAAGTGATTCTCCTGCCTCAGCCTTCTGAGTAGCTGAGGTTACAGGAGCGCACCACCACGCCCGGCTAATTTTTGTATTTTTAGTAGAGACGGGGTTTCACCATGTTGGCCAGGCTGGTCTCGAATTCTTGACCTCGTGATCTGCCCACCTCGGCCTCCCAAAGTGTTGGGATTACAGACGTGCGCCACCGCGACTGGACTCATTTAATGTCTATTGATTTGACTTTTTGGCCCAAGGGGCACTTTTCTTTCCTGCCGAGTCTTTGAAGGGCCTCAGGACTCTGCCCTCCACTTGCCACTCTTTTTTTTAGAGACAGGGTCTCCATATGTTGCCCAGGCTGGGGAGCAGGGGCTATTCACAGGCACAGTCAAAGTGCATGGATTCAAGCAATCCTCCTGCCTTGGTCTCTCCAGTAGCTAGGACTACAGGCACGTGACGCCATGCCTAACCTCCCACTCTCTGCAGCAAAGCCTTGCTGTACTGTGATAAAAGTTTGTATCTTGTTGGAGGGAGCAAAAGGTATGAAAGAAGAAAAAAATGCCTGAATTGGTTCTTGATAAATGAGCTTCCAGTGGACAAGGAGAAAAGGACATTCTAGGCAGGTGGAAAAGCATACACAAGACAGGGAGATGGAATCATATTGTGTGTCCAGGAACATGAATTCTTCCAGTGTAGCAGAAACAGATTGGGGTAGACAGTGGAAGGCACTGAAGTGAAAAAGGGAAGTATTTTGTGACAAGCAAAGGAGATTGATTCTATTTTGAATGCGACAGGAATCCTGTGTAGGATTTTTATCCATGGAAATAAATGAAAATCATCAGGAGGGTTTTCTAGAAAAATCACTTTTGGGTTCCTGCAAGTGACAGGAGTGGACGGAAGGAACAGAACATGGTGATCAGTTGCAATTATTGCAGTTGTCAAGGTGAGAAGTGATTAAACATGAGCAAAGATGGTGGCAGCAAGAATGGGGGAAAGAAGTGGGTCCAGAAATATTAGAAAGTGTACTGTGAGAAGCAACCTCTCAGAGCTTCAGTTTGAAGACAGGAGGTCCTCTGGCTCTAAAATTATGACTCTAGGCAGGAAACATTTTCTTTAAGAAAAATGAATTAAAAATAAGGCCTTGTCATGAAACTCTTGGTACTTTCACAGTAAAAGTCATACAAATTTAAAAAATATATACAAGCATGTGTTAACCACTTTCTGGAATTACTCTAACGTTTGAAGTTCCTCAGAGGCTAAGTAGAGATCACAATGGCTAGGTTATGGTGGTGTCTGTCACGATCAGGTTTTCATAATTCAGTTAGGGATTCTTGCATGCTTGTAGTGGGAGTTACATAGCTCCTTATCACTGTGTTTATGCAAAATGGTAACTCCAGCTAAACCAATATCAGTTCATTGTGTTGAGGGTTAATTAGTTCTGTGTCTCAGGGCTACATGAGAAATAATGAAAAACCAACCAAACAAACAAGAAAGTCATCAAAAACTCAGTGGATATGAAATGGGAATTGGCACAAAGAGAAAGCCTAAAAGCAACGATGTGCTTTTCTCTGTCTCCGTCCATCTGTCCTTCTTCATGGACACAGTTACTGCCCATCTTGTCCCTGTAGAGTAAGCAGAACCAAGAAAGGAGTCTTTACATACAACATATTACATGTAACATATGTGCATATGTTATATATATGTGTGTGTTTTATATGTATATAAAATATATAACAAAAGAAAAGGAAATTGGGAGGCCAAGGCAGGCAGATCACCTGAGGTCAGGAATTCGAGACTAGCCTGGCCAACATGGCAAAACCCCATCTCCAATAAAAATACAAAAATTAGCTGGGTGTGGCTGTAGGCACCTGTAATCCCAGCTACTCAGGAAGCTGAGGCAGGAGAATCACTTGAACTCGAGAGGCGGAGGTTGCAGTGAGCCGAGATTACACCACTGCACTCCAGTCTGGGCCACAGCAAGACTCCATCTCCATCTCAAAAAAAAAAAAAAGAAAAAGAAAAAGAACAGGAAGGAGACCCTATCTGATGCTCACAGTTCATGCTAAAGGTAAAGATGCACATCACGTAAGTCATGTTGAACACTGTTTTCCTTCTTTCCAAATAAACTACTAAAAGCCAATATCTACAGTGACGGTAAGACAAGTATTTTCACAAGTTTATTTTGGTTTGCAGATCCATCATTTTTTGATCCTAGAGAAGCACTGAGTTACAAACAGGGTCCAGTTTCGTCATTTAACATTTCCAAGTGGAGACTCTTGAAAGACTCTTGGGCTTTTTCCAAATGGAAAAATTTAATGATTTAACGATAGTAACAACAACAACAATAGCAAAATGCCCACGGGAATTGAGAGCGAATTTGAATATTTTCAGTCTAAACGATGGCTTTTCACAAAGACTTTCTGTACATTACAACTTGGCATAGATTTAAATACCACAACCTCAGTGACCTCACAATTGAGTTATCAAAGCTACTATAACTACTTGGATTTGGAATCCAGGCCTTAGCAAGGATCTCTACCCATCTGTTCTTACTTAGAGACAGTCTGCCTTTGAGCTCTGCTGGTGACCAAAACCTAAATTGTAGCAGACAAAACACAGTCTTTTATCATGAAACAACATAAACCAGAGCAGAAATTTAAGGTTCTTCTCTTTTGAAAACTCAGAATGTCTTTCAAATATCTTACCCATGTGTAACACATTCTGGAAATTTTAACCCAATTTCATAATGAGTGTAGACTTGAGAACAGACATAGTTTAAAGACCAGACATACTTATAAGTTAATTAGATCTATGCCTCTCAGGGATATAGCAGTGTTCTTATTCTACATATACATGAAGAATTTATATTTTCACACCAGTAGGAAGTATACCTACATTAAGCCTTGGCAACATGGCCAAACTCATCTCTACAAAATATCAAAAATTAGCCGGGCATGATGGCTCATACTTGTATTCCCAGCTACTCAGCAGGCTGAGGTGAAAGGATCTCTTGAGCCAGGGGAGGTTGAGGCTGCAGAAAGCCGTGATTGTACCACTGCACTTCAACTTGGGTGACAGAGTGAGACCCTGTCTCAGAAGAAGAAGAAAGAGGAAAGAAGAAAGAAGGAAGAAGAAGAAAAGAAGTATACCTGCATATTATATAGGTAATGATACTTGGGGAGGGGATGGAATGGTGAGTAGAATGTTCTATTTTTTCCTCGGGGGTACGGATTCAGTGTGTTTCTACATTTTATGAACTTTTTTTATACCTCAGTGTCTTGGGGATAAATTTTTTTATCAATTTTAGGTAGAATTTAAAAGTTGTGAATTATAAGCTAACAGCTATGCACAGAAATCATTAGCATTCCAAATAAGGTATTGCTTTTAAATACGGACAGGTGTTGTTTGTTTGTTGTGTGTTTTTGTTTATTTGTTTTTTGGTATGGATGTACTACATTTGTTCTATAGCTTTTGGGAAACATATTTACCAAACAGCTTGAAGGGAATAATTTGTCAAGGCATCCTTGAGTTAAAACCTTCTTAAGTCAATTTATTAGCAGATATATTTTGTGAATATATTTGTCTATAGACATATAAGAAGAATTTCTTCAAAATTTGATTTTTAAGAAGTAATTTACTCCCCTTTACTGACAATCAACTAGAATTTTCTTATCAGGTATTAGGAAAAAATTGTGCAGGGTCCTTGGAGACCATCTATTCCAATCCAGCCTCTCCTCTTTTATAACAGGCAAGGAATTTTGAGTTATTCTCATAGAAGAAAAACATTTCTCCAACTAAGAAGTTTTCCATGCTTTTCTTATTATTATGCATTATTTTATTACTGTATCTTCTCACCACGATAAACTAAAGTAAAAGTGAAGGGAAAGTCTGTATATAGGTCTCAAGAAATTTGATTTAGAATATTTTAAAGTCATGTTACTAAGAAACATAAATATTTCATGCAAGCAAACACGTTCATTTCATTTTAAAGATCCTGCTGAACTACTGAACCCTAAGCCTTATGCATTTATGAAAGCTGTGAAAGAAATTATTATTATTCCAATAGTTATAGAGTGTTTAATTAATAATAATCATACCTTTCCCAGATCAGATTTCCAAAGTCAAGTGCTTGGGGCTAGGAAAGAAGGTCGACTCTCAGTCTATTTTCAGGTTATTTTAAAATTGAATTTCCTCCTTGCAGACTGTCATTAGTCTAGTTAGGCTACTAGGAGACAAGAAGACATTAAGGAATCTTGGAACCAGGAGGGACATGCATTTGCTCAAGAAAGATTCATTAGTGCCTGATCAGTATCAGGCAGTGTAGTAAGAATTGGAGATACAAAGATTAAAAAACAGTGCCTGTCCTCAAGGAGGTAACCGCACAGGATGAAAGGCAAATATAGAAACAAACACATATAATAAAATGCTTTGAAATATGATAGTAGAAGGTATAAGATCAACCCTGCCAGCATGGTGGCAGAGGTTGGGGATGGGAGGTCATGAAGAGCTTCAGGAGGAGTGACCTCGAGTGTCTTGTAAAATGGGTACACATTTATCATGTGACCCCGGAGAGGGAGAAGGAAAAGTCTGGAAAGAGAGGAAACAGTAGGTGCAAAGGCATGGAGCTAGGGACAGAATGGGCCTGGGGAACAAGTCCTAAGGTTTGTCTACGGTGTGAGTGTGGGGAGAGACAAGACTGGAGGAGTTAGCAGAGGTCAGCTCCAGGATGGGCCAGGACAGCATGCTAAGTAAGGATTTAGGATTTTATTTTTATTTTATTTTTGAGACAGAGTCTGGCTCTTTTGCCCAGGCTGGAGTGCAGTGGCGCCATCTTGGCTCACTGCAAGTTCCGCCTCCCAGGTTCATGCCATTCTCCTGCCTCAGCCTCCGGAGTAGCTGGGACTACAGAAGCCCGCCATCACGCCCGGCTAATTTTTCTATTTTTAGTAGAGACGGGGTTTCCCCGTGTTAGCCAGGATGGTCTCGATCTCCTGACCTTGTGATCTGCCCGCCTCAGCCTCCCAAAGTGCTGGGATTACAGGTATTTTATTTTATTTTTTGAGACAGGGTTTTGTTCTTGTTGCCCAGGCTGGAGTGCAGTGGCATGATCTCAGCTCACCCCGCAATCTCCGCCTCCCAGGTTCAAGCTATTCTCCTGCCTCAGCCCCCCAAATAGGTGGGATTACAGGCATGTGCCATCACGCCCGGCTAATTTTTTATTTTTAGTAGAGACAGGGTTTCTCCATGTTGGTCAGGTTGGTCTCAAACCCCTGACCTCAGGTGATCCGCCCCCTTCAGCCTCCCAAAGTGCTGGGATTACAGGCAGGAGCCACCACACCCGGCCAGGATTTTATCTTATAATAATAATTGAAATAATTTACATCATGCACTTATTCTGCGTCAGGCATTGGTATGAGCACTTGACTTATACTGAGTTTATTTAACCCTCACAACAACTCTACAAAATAAGTACAGTCATCGCCAGCATTAGTGGGGGATTGGTTCCAGGACCTCCCTCGGATACCAAAACCCATGGATGTTCAAGTCCTTTATAGAAAATGGTGTAGTATTTGCATATAATCTATGCACATCCTTCTGTATACTTTAAACATCTGTAGATTATTCATAAATACCTAAAACAATGTTAATGCTATGTAAATAGTTGTTGTACTGTATGTTTAAGGCACAATAACAAAAAAAAGTCTATACATGTTCAGTACAGTTTTTTTTTAAAAAGAATATTTTCCAGCCATGCTTCTTGTATCCCTGAATGTGGAACCCACAGATAGAGAGGCCCCACTATGTGTATTATTACTGCCCTCATTTTACAAATAAGAAAACTGGGGCACAGGGAGGTTAAATAACTTGAAAAAGGTCACACAACAAATAAATAATAAATCTAGAAATCAAACCTAGCTTGTCATACTCTTGACCATGGGTTTATGTGTCCTACCTAATGGGTTGGTGACTTCTTTTCAAAAGAGGACTGAGATAATCAGATTTTATTTGAGAAAGATCCTTCTGGAGGTCATGTGGATGATTAGAGGAGGAGGTCAGGTGTAGCAGGAAGTAGAAAAAGGATCCAGGGAGAGCAATTAGGAGACTTGCACAAAAATCCAAGCGAGAAGTGATAATTATCTTACCCAAGAAATGTAGGTAGAAACCCAGGAACCCTCCTGGGCCTTGGAATGGCTTGGCCCAGAAGACATCTTGTATTTGACGCTTGGAGAGGATTGGTTTTTAGCATCCCCTCCTATGCTGTGCAACGAAATTAGTTTTAGCAGTAACCATGAAATGGAACAAATGATAACGGCGAGAAAAGAAACCCATTTCTTTCTGTTGAAGTCTTATATGTAATCAGGCCAGCAAAATAAATAAAAAATAAAAGAAAGATTTTTGTATGAAAAGGGCGACAAGAACAATGGATTAGCACTTTTAAGTGACATTAATGTATTTTTGAAAAATGGGAGAAAAAAGTATTTCTACGTATTAGTCCAAAGTGATCATGAGTTCACCAGGCCAATAGGAGAGGGTCCCAGGGAGGGCATCTCAGGAAGAGGGAATGGCACAGGTAAAGGCATGGAGGTGTGAGATGCCTGGAAGAACTGAGCCCTGAGAGTCATTTGGTTTAGCAGATCCAAGAGCCCATGAGTGACAGGCACTGGCAGAAGACAAGAGAAGAGGATGACATTAGAGGGACAGGATAGATTATAAACTAAAGGGTTTTGCACACGAAGAGAAATTTTTCCCTTGGCAAGATAGGTGGCAGTGTGGAGGAGAAACTTGTTAGGATCCTGTCAGGAGAGGCAGAAATACCCCATAAAAGGTAATGGGTCCTAGCAGGGTGCGGTGAGTTACACCTGTAATCCCAGCACTTTGGGAGGCTGGGGCGGGTGGATCACGAGGTCAGGAGTTCGAGACCAGCCTGACCAACATGAAGAAACTCTGTCTCTAATAAAAATACAAAAATTAGCTGGGCGTGGTGGCGCACGCCTGTCATCCCAGCTACTCAGGAGGCTGAGGCAGGAGAATTGCTTGAACCCGGGGGATGGAGGTTGCAGTGAGCTGAGATCGTGCCATTGCACTCCAGCCTGGGTGACAGAGCAAGACTCCGTCTCAAAAAAAAAAAAAAAAAAAAAAAGGTAATGGGTCCCTATACAGAGACAGTGGCAGTTTCAGGATGGAAAGCAGAAAATAGTGTTAAGATGGGTGGCCATTTGGGCACAGGCTTCCCCCAGGGCACCAGGTACTAAATGTGGAGTCAGCCTTCACTAGATTCTGGTTTGCTTGTTTCAAAATGTACTCCAAGAGCCCAAGAGATGTGCCCCACATGAAGTAGGTGCTGCAGCTGGCACTTAATAGTGTCTTGCACAGTGCCTGCTGAGACCAAGTGTGTGCTCTTTGAACAGTAGCTCCAAAAATGACCCTTCGGAAAGGTGGCCATAAGTCCCAGTTTGCTGTGCTTCAGCCAGGGTCTTTGGGAAAATGTATTAATAGGGTTTCCTTTCACTCTTAAAAGCATAATTTTGATGATAAATTATATGTTAGCCTTATCTTTCGGTGTAACCCCTCTTAGGTGGACCCTTGAGGGTTGCTAGCGCTGTCTGTGGAATCTGGAGGGTGGTAAGGATGCAAAGAAATCATGGACCTCATTTCTGCTCAGCCAACTCATCCCTCTAGGTCTCGCTCTGGAAAAAATTCCCCATAATGTCTCTAGAAGAATTACAGTGCATGCAACTTTGAGGAATTAGGGAAAAGAGTATTGGAACGAAACTCTTGAAAACTAAATTCTACCTTCGCTGTGCCCCCAAATTAGCTGTGCAGCCTCGGACAAGTCGCCTATCTCTCTGGGCCTCATGATTCTCATCTATGAATCGAGAGGACGCAACCAGATAGGTTCTGAGATCTCTCCCAGCTTTAAGAAACGACCAAAGGGCCTATTTTTCAGAAGCCAATAATATATGGCAGTTCCTACGGACTCTAACCTTCCCTCGAGAATCACGGTCAACACTAGCTCTGTGCAGAACATGCTGCTCATCCGGTTATTCCTTGCCTGTGCCCTGGGGTGTGACCACCTTCGTAATCTCTTTAAACACCAAAGGCTCTCAAAATTGATCTTATAGCCATATATCTGTATCTATACTCTCTATCGATATAGATAGATATATTTTGATATTTATGCATCCGTCTAGTCCCGGTTAAGACAGCAGTTAAACACCGGCAGAATAAAGTTGCTCCCACCTGTTAACTAGCCTCGACCGACCCTGCTCCAGCCAACTCTTGTCGCCCCCAAGCGTGGGAATCGCGAGACCTCCCAGGCAAAAGGCTTTCTGTCTGTTTGTTTGTTTGTTTGTTTGTTTGTTTATTACCTTGAATTCCTCTTTCCAGCCCTTCTTGGGCGCGCGTACACGTCTCCGGTCTTCAGCAGGTTGGGAAGGTCCACAGCCCATGCTGCGCGCGCGCGCTCCTCCTCCGCGGGCTTGGCTGCTGTGCGCCCCCGCGAGCGCTCCCTGCCGCGCTCCGGCGCCGGTGGTCCCGCGCTCCTGCGCCCTGCGCCCTACGCCCCTGCTACTGCGCTCGGGCGCCACCCGCCTCTCCCACTTCCCGCGCTTAAACCCCGGGCAGGACGCACTGAGTTTCTGGGCAGTCGCCAGGAATGGTTGCCACAATAAATTACGTCATGCAGACCTGGGACCTGGGCGGAGATGGGACTCTTGTAACTGAAAACTAGAAGGTTGGAGGTGTCTAAATCACAGCTAGGATGCAAATGGCAGCCCTATCCAGAGCGAGGGGCCGGGGGAAAGCCCGCTGCCTGGCTGCGTTACTTTGAAAAGTACCAGAGTCGCAAGCATCTTGCGGGAACCTCTTATTTTTCCTCTTTGTAAGACACGGTGTGTGTGACACGCCCCTACCCCTGGTGCCTGGACCACATCCTTGTTTTTAGACACTGTCTGTAGTGAAGGTGATCGTGTGGCATGCGAGGCAGGTGTCCAGTCGCAGAGACGGCTGTTGAGGGCCGGAGGACGGTGTGGAGGCGGCCCCGACAGCACCAGAAGGCAGTGGCACAAAAGCGACCTCAGAAAGACGGTCGCACGAACAGAAACCAACACGATGAAGAAAAGCAGATAGTCAGGACCATAAACAGCTCAGCAGCCGCCAAATGGGTCACGCAAATCATTTTAATGGCAGGTGCATTTTACGAGCTGTTAGGCTGTATGGAAAGAGCATGGCTATGCATATTTCTAGCAGAGAATTAAATCAAGGTGTTATCCGTCCAAAAAGGCAGACCAGGAAGACTGCTCCAATGAGGATCAAGTTTGTCTTTCCCGGATATTTTCTTTTAATCTTAATTTTTATTTTTTTTTAAAGAATTAAAACGAACTAAAAGGAATCTTAGAGGTCTCCTATCAACTCTTTTTTTTTAGTTTTGCAGAAGTTGAGTGACTTTCCCAAGGTCAACGGGAAGCTAGTTAATGAAGGTAGGATGAGGAACTAGGTGGCCTGACTCAGTTTCTCTCTGTCTCCACAATACCAGGAAAGTACAACTGAGGATTCTTAGAGGTGTAAAAATCCTGGGTCCTTCCAAGGAAACTAATGCTCAGCTCTGTGATAGGAAGCTGATTACTTACAGCATTTAAACTCATTTCACTGTTATTGGATATTGCTGTCAATTTTCCTTCTACTAAAATTGAGGAAGAGGAAAGATGAGGAAATGAAACTCAACTCAAAGTATTATAATTATGGAGCAAGAAACATTGAAGATTTATTGAATGAAGAGTTGAAACAAAGCTAAAATGGTGTTGGGGGAACAGCTCTGATAGTATTAACTCATGGGTGTCATAAGACACATGTAATGCCCCAACTGGAAACTGGGGGAAATTCTCGATTAGAATATTCCAACACAAAGGACACCAATAAAATGTTCTTGAGCAAGTTGAATGGATGTTTGTATAACTGTAAGGGTAAGATACTGCACACAACTTTTTTTTTTTCTTTTAAGGCTCTCTGTGAACAGAGATTTGCTGAGAACGAGTAGGTGGTACCCAAGTGTGTTGTGCAGGTGTTGTTTGCAGCATCCTAGGACTACAGTGTGTAAACTAAAATAAAATCCTAAGCCCACCATAGACTGAACAGACCCCTTCTGAGCCAAGGGGACCCAAGAACAACTTAAAAACCAAGTTCCTGGTTATGACGGAATGAGAGGTGAGACATGCCTTTTTTTTTTTTTTATACCGCCTTGGTTTAGACACAACAACTGATCAGCATTAATGTTAAAATAGAGACCAGAAGATTGGCAGAACAGGCGGTGGCTCACGCCTGTAATCCCAGCCCTTCGGGAGGCCAAGGCAGGTGGATCACCTTAGGTCAGGAGTTCAAGACCAACCTGGCCAACCTGGCGAATCACCGTCTCTACTAAAATTACAAAAATTAGCGGGTGTGGTGGCGGGTGTCTGTAATCCCAGATACTTGGGAGGCTGAGGCAGGGAGAATTGCTTGAACCCGGAAGGTGGAGAGTGCAGTGAACCGAGATGGCACCATTGCACTCCAGCCTGGGTGACAGAGCGAGACTCCATCTCAAAAAGAAAAAAAAAAAAAGAAGATTGACAGAACTTTCGTGGCAGTAACATACCAAATTATAAATAGGACCTAAGGCAATGGTTAAGTCATACACCTCTACATTTAAAGAAGAAACTATGTTCTAATCTTGCTATGAAGTTTTTCTTTCTCTTTAGCAGCTAAACAAGCACTGGCCAGAAATAAGCAATATTGAAACAATTACAGCTTATCCAGCTCACAGGCTCTAACTGACCTCCTGCGACACCAGCCCTAACTACAGCTTTGATTGGACAAGAGATCAATTTCAGTAACTTTCTCCTGATAAGAAGACCAGCGACCATGGACTGTTTCTGGCCAGTTGACAGAGGTTATGCACTTGCATGCTTCATGTCCTCAAAAGACCTTTTGATATATAGGACTTACTTGTAATACATTCAAATGTTAAATCACCCCAAAGTGAACATGGGGTGATATGTTAACATGCATGTTTGTTTAATACATATGCATCCGAACTACCTTTATGAATATTCATAGCTCCTCCTACAACCTGTTGAATATGTATGTTTAGCCAGCCGGTTCAGGATAAAGCTGTTACCCCAACCCCTACTCCTTTGAAGCCCCTGTCTCTGGTCTTTGCACGAGGCAAGCTTCTCAGCCTGAAGGATGGCCACCTTGCAGGCTGTAACCCTTTATAAGAAATGAAGTTTTCTCTCCTTTCCACATTTCTAGATACTGTGTGTGTTTTTTAAGTTAACATATCCAAAGGTGTGAAAATGCCCTTTTTCTGGGGGTCTGTTAGGGCCAGTTTTTACTGGCTGATGAGAGCTGATTAACAGGAAATTTGGCCCCAGTTGTTAAATACAGCTGTTATTAAAATTAAATTATATAAACTTACAATTCAACTAGCTATGCTAAAAAAACCATAGGTAATAAATACAACCAGACTTTGAGTAGCAAGGGTGTAGAACACCTCTGAATATTAAATCATTACTGCAAGAACAGAAAATAGAAAAGAAAAATGGAAGACAGGAGAAAGAAGTGAGGAGGAAAATGAAGGAGAAGAATCAAGACAAAGTCCATTAGACAATCAAGTATGAAGAAAAGAAACACTGGCCTCATTTTATCAAGGAATTTTCAGTCTAGGAAGATCATTATGCGTAAAATTACAACTAGGAGCCCTGATGTTACACCAGCTGCTTATTTCTCTTCCCTGGTAGAGAAAGGATCTTTGTATTTAGTGGATCAGGGTGAAGGAGAAAAGAAAATCCTCGCCTGCCATCACCCAACCTAGGAGTTGGTTTTCTCTCTGTTCTGGTAGAAACTGAACCCACATGGGACGCAGGATAAACCAGAGAGCAGCCTTGTCTCCCTGCAGCACTCTCAGCAATAGCGTATTAGGGCAAGGTATTAGGGCAGGGTGAGTCATAGGCAGCCCAGAGGCTTCAGATTCCACGGTGGAAGCTTTCTGATATCAGTTCCAACTCCAAGCTTTTCTAAGAAGTAGAAAGTCACATGGAGAAATCAGTTCTAATCCCAATACCACATTTACTGAGTTTACTGGCATCTTTCCATAAATAGAAAAATTATGTACTGATTTTCATTCCCAAACATGTCTCAATGGACTAATTATTACAATAATAGCTAATATTTTGAGTGCTTGTTGAGGATTAGGTAAATGAGGGCAGCTAGTGGCTAATGTTGGCATTTCTACTTTATCAGCCTACTATTAGTCTAAAGCAAAGACTAGAAAACCCACCGACCAAATCTTGCCCACTCTGTCTTTATAGGACATATGAGCTAAGAATGGATTTTGTGTTTTAAGTGGCTGAAAAAAAAATGAAGGAGAGTACGATTTAGTGATTTGTGAAAATTATATGAAATTCAAATGTCAGTGTTTGTAAATAAAGTTTTATTGGAACACAGACATTCCCATTTGTTTACATATTATCACCCAACAGCTGCTTTTCTGGCAGAGTTGAGTAGTTATGGCAGAGATCATATGGTCTGCAAAGCCTAAAATCTTTATTATCCAGCCTCTTATGGAACATGTTTGCTGATCCCAGATTTAAAATGATAAAGTAACTCCCACAAACTTATTAAATCACTACAAGGAACCCGAGCAGCCAGAAAGAGTTTGTGCTACTTTCAGAAGGGCAAAAAACTCCGAGGGTATAAATGCCACACAAGGGAATTTATCTCATTAAATAACAGAATTCCCAGGCCTTTAAAACATGTTAAGTGGCTTCATTCAGCTGATAAGCCCTCCCATGCTTCGCTGAAGCACTCTGTTCAACAGGAGGGCTATAGGGTGGGAACGACACTTCACTGTGTTGCATCTGAGATGTACTGCAGGGAGCACTGTGGCTTCTGGAAAAAGACAAGAGGGCACCAGCTTGTAGGAGACAGGTGGCATTTTGAGTGTCATCTTGAATTCAAGATCAAATTTTATTTTTAAATTAAATTAAAAATTTTTTTTGAGATGGAGTTTTGCTCTTGTTGCCCAGGCTGGAGTGCAGTGGCGCTATCTCGGCTCACTGCAACCTCCGCCTCCTTTGTCCAAGTGATTATCCTGCCTCAGCCTCCCAAGTAGCTGGGATCACAGGCGCCCGCCACCACACCCAGCTAATTTTTGTATTTTAGTAGAGACAGGATTTCACCATGTTGACAAGGCTGGTCTCGAACTCCTGACCTCAGGTGATCCTGCCTTGGCCTCCCAAAGTGCTGGGCTTATAGGCATGAGCCACCGCGCCTGGTGTAAGATCTAATTTTAAAATCCCATGTTGTTCTGGTTCTTCACATCCCTTTGCCAGACATTTCAACCCAAACATTCCATTACTTGAAAACAGTCACCCCTCATCCCTCATATACATTGTGTTGCTCAGTTATAAGGGGTCTCTGAAGTTTCTGGCTTCTGAATCTGCTGGGGCAGGTTGCCTCAGTTACTGTACCAAGCACATTTAGGAAGCTCACAAATCTGTCTGTGAACAGTTGTGTGATAAAGAAAACTGCTATTACTAAAGGAAATTTGAATCAGAATATTGTCATTAAAAACACACACACACGACAACACATTTGCATAATCAAGATTTTTGCAATTCATTTGCCAACACTTGCAGTAACACCAGTAATGAATGAATGGTGTTGCCCCAAAATACAGAGTCCAGGCATATTTTAGGTATCCCTTTAAGAGAGTTGGTTTGACAGATTCTTGCAGAGAACAACCAGAAATAAATAAATAAGCCCACAAACAGGGGAACAATTGTTTGTTGAACCTTGGCATTAAGCCAATAATCTTGATGTTTGCTCATTCAACACAAACTGGGTAAATACAGAGAGTAAAACACCAATCTCAGGGTAATAACTCAGAGAACGGCAGTGTAACAGTAAATTTAGCTATAATAATCTCATAGAATTATAAGACTTCCATTTACATCTATGTTAAGAAGCAGTTCTGAACTGCATTTAGATATTGTATAGGTCTAATACTGTGCTGAGAATTTAATGGGGATGTGTAAAATGAGAAACAATACTTGCTGAATGGCAGTTGGAAAAGGCAAGCTTGCTTTTTAGAAAGCTGTAACAACTCTTAAGGTTACACATGGCAATTTTCACACACTGATATTCTCACAATTAAAGAAAAGTAATATTTAAATGATTTTCACTGCTTCCAATTTTGGCAGTACATGGGCAAAAAGCACTGAGACTTTTCGAATTAGTGGTGTGATTTTTCCGTGCTGGCCTTGAACATATTGTTTGACGCTCCAGGGGAGTTTGGCTGCTTGAAGAACTGAAAAAATGAGGGGAAGAACAAAGCTCTCTCAGAAACTTGATTTTTTTCTCCACTGGAATGTGGTGGAAAGAATGCTGGGCCGGCTGGGTCCCTTCTGATCCCAGCCCTGTTCTGTTACGGAGCAGCCTTGAGGAAGCCATTTAATCTCTGGGGGCTGGACTAGGAGGTACTGGATGTTTAATAGTTCCTGGAGCTCTGGTTCTCAAAGCGAGGCACTACAGCATCTGTTTTAGAATAGCCTCTGCTGCTTGTCATCAATGCATATTCCCAGCAACAAGAACAAGGGTGCTGGATTGGAACCTGCAGGACTGGTGCCTCGGAATCTGTGTTTTCAACAAGTACCTCAGGTTATTCACATGTGCAGGGATGACTGACACATTGCAGAGAGCAGAGCAGAGAAGAGAAGAACTTGGGCTTCCGAGGGAGACTGACCAGGTTTCACCTTTGACCTTGGGACGTTATTTCACCTTCCTAAGTCCTAGTTTACTCTTCTTTAAGAAAGGAGATAGTAGGCCAGGTGCAGTGGCTCATGGCTGTAATTCCAGCACTTTGGGAGGCTGAGGCGGGCAGATCACCTGAGATAAGGAGTTCGAGACCACCCTGGCCAACATGGTGAAACCCCGTCTCTACTCTAAATACAAAAAATCAGCCGGGCATGGTGGCGCGTATCTGTAGTCCCAGCTGCTTGGGAGGCTGAGGCAGGAGAATTGCTTGAACCTGGGAGGCAGAGGCTGCAGTCAGCCAAGATTGCGCCACTGCACTCCAGCCTGGGCAACAGAGTGAGACTCTGTATCAAAAAAAAAAAAAAAAAAAAAAAAAAAAAAGAAGCTAGTAATAATACCTATCTTCTTTCTAGGGTTATTGGGAAAATTAAATTAGAAAAAAAAAGGCCTGAAAAGTGCTTCCTTCACAATATTCCTGCACAATAGTTATGCAATATATGGCAATTGAGATGATCTACAAATTTGTCATTTAGGGTAGATGTATTTTTTATTGTAAAGTAGATAAAATTATAAATTCTAGCTGAAATTCACAAATTTATCAAATTAGCTTTACTGCAAGTGAAGAAAAAGTTTTTTATCAAATAATCTGGTTTTTCTTTTCTTTGTTTTTTGAGACGGAGTCTCGCTCTCACCTAGGCTGGAGTGCAGTGGCGCAATCTCGGCTCACTGCAAGCTCTGCCTCCCGGGTTCACGCCATTCTCCTGCCTCAGCCTCCTGAGTAGCTGGGACTACAGGCGCCCACCACCATGCCCAGCTAATTTTTTGTATTTTTTAGTAGAGACGGGGTTTTACCGTGTTAGCCAGGATGGTCTCGATCTCCTGACCTTATGATCCGCCCGCCTCGGCCTCCCAAAGTGCTGGGATTACAGGAGTGAGCCACCTCGCCTGGCCAAATAATCTGGTTTTAAACAGGACTTTTTTTTTAAACCATGAGTTTGACTACATCTCATTTTTAGACCAACATAATTCAACTGATATATCAAGCCACAAAGCTTTAGGAAAATCAGGGCTGGGTGTGGTGGCTCATGCCTGCCATCACAGCGCTTTGGGAGGCTGAGGCAGATTAACTGAGCCCAGGAGTTCGAGACCAGCCTGGGCAACATGGCGAAACTCTGTCTCTACAAAAAATACAAAAAATTGGCTGGGAGTGGTGGCATATAGTCCCAGCCACCTGGTCAGCTGAGGTGGGAGAATCACCTGACCCTGGGAGGTTGAGGCTGTAGTGAGCTGAGATCGCACCACTGCACTGTAGCCTGTACTCCAGCCTGGGTGACAGAGTAAGACCCTGTCTCAAAATAAAAATAAAAAGTAACAAAAAAAGGAAAATCAGAAAAGTGTGCAAGTACTGTGTGGCATATATCACCAACTAGACTCAAGCATTACCGTCGTCGCAGTGGCTGTCCCCGCTGTTCCTCTAGGGAAGCTCCCTCCTGAGCATGGATGGGGTTTGCATAAGTCCCATGATTCTCGCTTCTTTTGCTCACACCCTCCTTCCCTCTGTCTTCTCTCATTTGGCTCTGCAATTATAGCAGCTACAGAGAGCTGCCTGTTCTCTATTCTTTTTCAGAACAAGCTGCAGTGAGGACCTGATAGTCAAAATTACTTGGAGGAAAATCACAGCTCTTCTCCCCTAGAAAGTCTGCTGAGTCTCACCAGGAGAATCTCACAGGGAGGCTGCCACGAATTCTCTCTGCAAGGACTGTGAAACTCAGGTACAAGCCTAGTAGGGTGGGAGTTGGGTGGGGAAGCAAGGAAGGGGCAGGGGGAGGCGGGGGAGAGAGAGAGAGAGAGAGAGAGAGAGATGGATTGAGAAAGGTTTGGGACACCTTTCCCAAACAGATGATGGATTGAGAAAGGTTTGGGACACCTTTCCCAAACAGATGAGTGTGCTGGGGACCAGCCTCCACTGGTAAAGAGAAATTCCATTCTTCAACCTTCCTCTGCCTGAAGGGGCTTCATCCTCACACCAGGTGGCACCAGCGTCATTGCTTGCAGAAGTGGCTCTGCCACTTTTAATTTCTGAAACGTGTATTATGCACCTATTAAGTGCTCAGCTGGGCCCTCCTGTTGGCCCACCTTTCAGCTGTGAGTCGGCAGATGGAATCCTTGTAATGACAACCATTAAGCCAGTAGAGGAGCCCCGGTGAGACTGATGCACTGCGAATATGAAAATGTCATTTATTCTTAAAAAAAATAAAATAACAAAGTCGGTGCCATCTTGGAAGGGGAATGTGCCAGTGGAAAGCTCTAGCTCAGTTTGTAAATGGTCCTGTGCAGCTACTGTTCAGGCCAGTTTTTAAATGTGGTTACTTACCTTGCCACCACACTTCCAGGTGCTAATATTAAGTAAGAGTGTCGGTCAAAAAAAGGTTATGCTGTTTCACATTCCACAGGGTACACAGTTGGCCCTTGGTATCTGGGTATCTGGGTATCTGGTGTCTGCAGGTTCCGCATCCACAGATTCAGCCACCACAGGTTAAAAATTTATAAAATAAGAATACAACAATAAAAAATAATGCTAATCAAAAACAATACAGTATAACAAGTACTTATATAGCATTTACACTGTATTAGGTATTGTAAATAATCTAGAGAGGATTTAAGGCATATGGGAGGATGTGTGTAGTTTGTATGCAAATGATATGTCAGTTTATATAAGGGACTTGAGCATCCATGGATTTTGGTGTCTGCAGGGTCCTGGAACCTGGGGAGATCGAGGGACAACTGTACATCAGCCTGCTGAGAAATGTTTTGCAGGATTCATGATTGGGATCTTCGTACTAAGCCTTTCTTGAGGGAGTGTCTCAGACTCAACCAGCCTCAATTTTCCCATGAATCCTTCTTCATTGCCTTCCTAGATTGCTACTCCGCATCTCAGCTGACCCCATACAAACAAACTCCAATAGTGTCTCCAATCGCGTGCTGTGTTAAATTTTAACTTTATAACCAACCATCATTTGCTACTTCCATCTAACCAAGCCAGTTTCCTTATGATGCACACACTTGTGTTTAGCTCACAATTTGTTCTACATGCTTGCTTATTTATTCATTCAGCAAGTATTTATTGAGCCCCAACTGTGCACTAGCTGCTGTCTCAGGTGCTGGGGAGACAGGAAGATCAAAATAAAACCCCTGCCTTCAAGTGCCTTATTGTTTAAGGGTCAACAGAATAAACACATAAGTGAATATATATCATGTGAGGTGGTAAAAAGGGCTGGGCAGAAAATAAAGGTTGGAAAAGGATGGAAAGTACTGGAGGGTGGTGTGATTTTAGGCTGGAGCGTCAGGAAAAGCAGAGAAGAAATGACTGTTACAGATGGAAGTGAGTGGAATGCTCCAAGCAGAGGGAACAGCAAGTGAAAGCGCCCTGTGGTAGAAGCATATTTGGCACATGTGAGGGACTGCATAAAGGCCAATGTGGCTGCATGGGGGTTTGGGAGATGTAGGGACAAGGTCAGAGAGGTAGCCAATGTCAGCATCATTGCTGTTAGGACTGGGTGGGACCCCAAAAGAAGTATTAAATAGTACCATCTAGTTTTTGTTCTTGAGGAGGTCACGTGTTAATATACTGATTGTTTGAGGTACAACAGAGTCAAAAAGGGGATAATTTATCGAGGTACAAGCCTAGGATATGGGTTGCTCCTGTTGCCCCTAAGTCTACCACGCCTGCACAGATCCTGCTAGTTCTTTCTTTTTTTTTTTGAGACGGAGTCTCGCTCTGTCGCCCAGGCTGGAGTACAGTGGTGCGATGGCGGCTCACTGCAAGCTCCGCCTTCCGGGTTCACGCCATTCTCCTGCCTCAGCCTCCCAAGTAGCTGGGACTACAGGCGCCCGCCACCACGCCCGGCTAATTTTTTTTGTATTTTTAGTAGAGATGGGGTTTCACCATGTTAGCCAGGATGGTCTCGATCTCCTGACCTCATGATCCACCCGCCTTGGCCTCCCAAAGTGCTGGGATTACAGGCCTGAGCTACTGCGCCCGGCCAGATCCTGCTAGTTCTTATTCCATTTGTAGAATTTCTCTGGCACTCAGCAGAGGATGATACCATATTGCATGACAAAATGCCTTCGTTTTTTCTTTTTTTCCAAATATAGTTTACTTTACAACCAGGTGGTGTTCTTAGTGATGGGGATGTTGCTCAGACATTGATGTAACTTCAGCAAACACTGCAGCAGGGAACATTCTTCTCCCCTGACAGGTTTTATAGCTAACAGCATCATCAGTCCTTTTTAGCGCAGTCTCTGAAAACTTAAAAGGAGTAATTGAAGAATTCTCCACAATGGGAGGGCCTAAAACTTTCCTGCTGAGTTTATTCTTGTTCCCCTTTAGAGTTAATCCCAACTGACTATTAATTAGACTGAATATTTACCAGATAAATGCAGAACGGACAACAGTGATAGATATTTGCAGTGATCTTAGCAAGGATGTTCGCCTAGCAGGGAGAATCTTAATTTCAAAGGATTCTACATAATGTAGTAAGATTGTACTTTCAATGGCTCAGAGCAGATGTGGTATCACCTCAAACCACTAGAGGGAAAAATTCAGCTTGTTATCTTCTTAGACTTTTGGCTTGCTTTGAGTTAAAGTCACCAATAATTTTAGAATTCTTTTATTTCTCATTCTGTTAGGAAAACAAGTTTAAAAATATTTATAAATTCCTGCAAGAGAAAAATAGATGCATCTGACCTGTTCCCTTTTCTCAGTCTATTATGTAAAAAAAAAACCGGGAGTAAAACAGAAAAACTATCTCAATTGTATGATTATCATATATCTAGACAGCTTCTAGAAATTCAATAGAATGATGACTCTCACCTTCTGCCCTTTCTTCTGATGCAACATGGTTCAGATAGACTTCTGCTTCCAGTCAAGATAGAGTAACAAACACTAGATTTACCCTCTCAAGGAAAAAAAATTAATAAAAAATCCAAAATATATAAAACAATGGTTGTCAAGACATTGGACATCAGGCGATGAAGGACAGTGATCCTTGAGAGATGGAAAGCTGAGAGGGTGAGCTCTATGATTAATCCCAGCTAACTACCTTGAAGACGTTTATAGATGGTAGTGCAGGGAGAGGAAACCCCAGCGGAGCCCTGTGGATTGCCTGAATTGAGGAGAAGGAGCTGAGAATCAAGGAAGGAAAAAGTGGCTAGAGTTTGCACGGCAAAGTAGCTGATAGGAGATAGAGGGAGAATTCCGGAGAGCTGCAGAGGATCCCCTTGAATATTCCATAGAGGACTGGTCAATACATGCATATGAGAAAGCTGCCTGAGGTTGGGGAAATAACTACAGAAAGGCCTAGAGGCTATAATAATCAGAGCTCTCACAGTGCTTGTTCTTACCAACCAGACCAGAAAACTCACGAGGGTTTGGCCTTGCTAGTGGGGAAAAATTAGCCCTACACTAAACATTGCTATGGTCCCACCTAACACATTGCAAAAGCAAGGACTGAACTAATGGAACTGCCTCTCAAAACAACGTTCAGGAATATTTATAGGAACACAAAACTATGTGGCACCCATAAGGTAAAACTGATAATGTCGGACATCTAATACAAAACTTAGCAGGCATGCAAAGAAGCAGGAAAATGTGACCCACAATTAGGAGAAAAATAAACTGATCAAAATCGACCCAGAGCTGATGTTCAAATTAGCAGATGAGGGCATTAAAACTTATTATTACTGTATTCCATATGTTCAAAGAGCTACAGGAAATATTAAATACAATGTATTTAAATAAATACACTGAGTAGAATTAATGATCAGTTAGACTTTGCGTAAGAAAAGATTAATGAACTTGAAGGCATAGCAAGAGAAACTATCCGAAATCAAACCTACAGAGAAAAAAGACTAAGAACAAAAATGAACACAGTGAAAGTGAACTGAAGAAAAACGTCACACAACTGAATATACATGTAATTGGAGTCCCCAAAGGAGAGAAGATAAGGTGGGGGCAAGGGCAGGAGGTGGGAACAGAAAAAATTTTGAAAAAATAATGGGCATCAAATTCCAAATTTGATGAAAATGATAAAATCACAAATCCAAGATACCCAAGGAACCCTTGGCACAAGAAACATTAAAAAAAAAAAACTATATCAAGGAACATCTTTATCAAATTTCTCAAAACCAGTGATAAAAAGAAAAATCTTAAAAGCAGACAGAGAAATAAAACATGCTATGTGCCAAGGTACTTTAAAGTACTAAGCATTGTAAAATATTGAAAGAAAAATGTGGCAACCTATACTTTTATACCCTGTGAAGATATCTCTTCAAAACAAAGGCTAAATGAATACGTTTTTAGGCATACAAAAACTGAAAGAACTCATCACCAGCAGACCCATATATAAGAAATGTTAAGTCCTTCAAGTGGAAGGAAAATGATACCAAATGGAACTATGGATTTATACAAAGGAATGAAAAACACTGGAAATGGTAACTACATGTGTAAATATGAGTTTTTCTTATTTCTTAGTTTTCTTTAAAGAGAATTCATTGTTTAAAGATCAATAATAACAATACAGTGTGGAGTTCATGGCATATGTGAATGTACAATATGTGATGACGATGACAGAACAGAGACCAGGAAGGGAGAAATGGAAACATACTGGAAGTATAATGTAAAAACCAGTAACGTGATCTCTGGATGAGCTCCCAACTATTTGGAAACTAAAAATATTCTATAAATAACCCACAAGTCAAAGAAGCAATCAAATACTGGGATAAGAGTCTTGACATCTGGGCTCTTTTCCTAGTTCTTTGTGAAATTAAACACCAGTGAATACCATGTTAATATTTTTCGAGGTATTGGAGTGTATTCGTTTTCTATACCTGCATAACAAATTTCCACAAATTCAGTGGCTTAAAACCACACATATTTATTTTCTCACAGTTTCATGGTCAGGAGTCCAGGCATGACTTCGTTGGGTCTTCTGCTCAGGGCCTCATGAGCTGCAATCAAGATGTTGGCTGGGGTCTCATCTGGGACTTGAGATCCTTTTCCAAGCTCATGTGATTATGGGCAGAATTCATTTCCTTGCAGCTGTGGAACTCACAGCAACTTGCTTCTTCAAGGCCAGCAAGAGAGAGCTCTGCTTCTCCTGTCTCCAACCTCTAGAGCCTCCTTTAAAGGGCTCAGGCCGGGTGCAGTGGCTCACACCTGTAATCTTAGCACTTTGGGAGGCTGAGGCGGGCAGACTGCCTGAGCTCAGGAGTTTGAGACCAGCCTGGGCAAGATGTTGAAACTCTGTCTCTACTAAAATACAAAAAATTAGCTGGGCGTGGTGGTGCGTGCCTGTAGTCCCAGCTACTACAGGAGGCTGGGGAGGCTGAGGCAAGATAATTGTTTGAACCCGGAGAGTGGAGGCTGCAGTGAGCCGAGATCACACCACTGCACTCTAGCTTGGGCAACAGAGCTAGACTCTGTCTCAAAATAAATAAATAAATAAATAAATAAATAAATAAATAAATAAATAAATAAATAAAATAAAAATTAAGGGCTCACCTGATTTGGTCAGGCCCACCCAGGATAATATCTCCTTCAATGAACTCAAAAATCAACTGATGTGAAACCCTAATTATATCTGCAGAATGCCTTCCCCTTTACCATACAGTGTAACCTGTTCATGAGTGTGACATTCCATCATAATCACAGGCTCTACCCACATCCAAAGAAAAGGGATTATTCAGGGTCATATACCAGGGGCCTGGAATTTTAGGGTCCATTTGAGAATTCCACCTGCCACAGAGAGACAGAAAAAGAGGGCAGGGGAAGGATATCATTTGTCAGTTGTTACTCACAATGTCTTCTAAGTAACTAAATATTGTTCTCCAATGCAAACAATGAGCTTTGACTGGCTTTTTGTTATTTTCTTCCTTGAGATCAACCATAAGGTCTTGAATAACTATAAGAATAATTACGGTAATGATGACAGCTACTGCCTCTTGAATGGTTAATACGTGCCTGGCATAAGTTCTTTACAACAAACATATAAGGTAGGTATTATTATACCCATTTTATGGATATAAAGGGAAGATCCCGAGGCTCAGAAATCCTTGAATAACTTGCCTTACACAGCTAGTAACAAAGGGATCAAGAATCAGAGCCAGTTGCTGTCTGATTCTTAATTCAGTGCTAGAGAGAAAAAAATGGGAATGCAGGCAGCAAGGAACCCTGGGTTCCACGCCAAGTTCTGCTTTGTGAACGACCATTTAACTGAATTGCTTTCATTATGGATAAAAGCAACTACCTCTGGCTTTTTGGAAATGCTTCTCTCTGTTGGAAAGAACATATAGCAAAAACTGCTATATATATATATTTTCAACTTGGCCAAAGCATTTTCTATCGATTAGACACAAAATTCCCCATATCCACCTTCTCCTATTTCATCTTAAAGGCTAGAACCAGGCTGTACAATTTTGAGTGGCTGAATTGTGTCTTGTGGGTAAGTTTCTGATTTGAAGAGTGAGTATGCATTTGGAAACATGAAACCGAAGTGCACAGGTGACACTTCCTAAGAGTGCACAGTAATTATCATAGGTAACTTCACCTGGCTGATGACTGGCAGTGCTTCTGTGATTTCATACATTTGAAACTTTTTTGCTGCCTGAAAGCCTAAGGCCATGGAAATGCTGCCTATCAGGTTGAACTACAGGTGTTCTCAAAACTGGGGATCGCCAACTGTTGTTCTTGGAGACCACATGGCTTCATGACTCTAGCTGTTTGCCAGACTGAATGATGCCTAAGAAGAGACAGAAAAGTCTAGGGGAAGGGGAGTAAAGGGTTGGAGTGGGTCACCCTAAAGACAAAGGTGTGGGTGGGGTTGACATAGAGACTTTCATTAAAAAAAATGCTCTCATGCCCTTTTTGTCTCTAGTTTTTGGTTTTTTTCTTATTCTTCTTGAAATAGAGCCTCACTCTGTCACCCAGGTTGGAGTACAGTGGCATGATCTTGGCTCACTGCAATCTCCCCCTCCCGGTTCAAGCGATTCCCTTGCCTCAGGCTCCTAAGTAACCAGGATTACAGGTGTGCGCCCCGGCTAATTGTTGCATTTTGAGTAGAGACAGGGTTTCACCATGTTGGCCAGGTTGGTCTCGAACTCCTGACCTCAAGTGATTCACCCACCTTGGCCTTCCAAAGTGTTGGGATTACAGGCGTGAGCCACCGCGCCCGGATTGTCTCTAGGTTTGTTTGGAGAGAAGCAAGTACCACAATCCTCCGGGAACATCCCGGCTGCTGTTTGAAGAGCAATAGCTCCCAGTCGGTCAGGGCTAAGTAATTAGCATAGCCACCAGGGGGCAATAATACCACAGCGATGATGAAATAGTAATAAGCTTGACTTTATTGTGTCCAAATCACCTACAAGAATAATCTTAGGTGAATGGATTTTGTGCTACTAATAGACTACTATACAATTAAGTACTAATACACTAATTACATTTCCGATTTAAAGTAACAATAATAATCAGTGTACACAGCCTGTACAGTCAGGCAGTCTTCTGTGGGGAAAATTTATCTGCTTCTGCTGTCTGCTCCCTTATAAAGAAATCCTAGCCCCAAAAGGGAGTGTAGTGGGAATTATGGGGCAGGGGATGTAAACAGGAGCAGGGAAAGGGGAAGCTTCCGGATAAGGAAGATGAAGCCCAGGCAGGGGGCAGTGGCTCACTCCTGTAATCCCAGCACTTTAATTGGGAGGCTGAGGCGGGTGGATCACCTGAGGTCAGGAGTTCAAGACTACCCTGGCCAACATGGTGAAACTCCGTCTCTACAAAAACACAAAAATTAGCAGGGTGTGGTGGTGCGTGCCTGTAATCCCAGCTACTTGGGAGGCTGAGGCAGGAGAGTGGCTTGAACCCAGAAGGCAGAGGCTGCAGTGAACTGACATCTCGCCACTGCACTCCAGCCTGGGTGACAAAGCAAGACTCTGTCTCAGAAAAAAAAAAAAAGGAAGATGAAGTCATGAGGAGTGAATTCCCCAGCATCATCTTCCTGGAAACAGGAATGCAGCCCCAAGACTCTGAGTCTCAGCTGCTAGGAACTCTGCGAGATTATGAGTCTTCTCAGTGAAGAGAGGGGCATTGCCTTCTCCATGTGCCCTCGGTGTTTAACAGGGCTTATTGGGTTCCCAACATGAGTAGGCACTGTTCTAGGCCCAGGGTGTATGGGAGAAATAATAATAATAATGCAGACATGGTTCTTGCCCCCAGGAAGTCAGGATCTAGTGGGGATACAGAAAATAAGTTAATTTTCAGACAAACATCTAATCACAAATCATATTAGATGATATAAAGGAAAGTCAAGTTACTACGAGATCATATAACAGAGGGGAGGACACTTAACCTGAAGCTTGAGGGAAGAGAGACACAAACAAACAAAAAAACAAATGGGGAAAGAGTGTTGTAAGTTGACCTTAAGGTATACTGGATTATATATAAAGAGGCTGGTGTCATTTGATGTAAGGTATCCTCTAGCCCACATAAAGGATTTGGGATTTTTATCCTAACTGCAATAATAAGTTTTGAAGGGTTTTATATGGATGATTGACATGGATCCAATTATATTTTTGTGAGATCATTCTGGCTTTCATCTGGGAAAAAAATTGGAGGCAACAAGAGTTAAAGCAGGGGGAATGATTAGGAGTCATTGGGTGATAATGAATGCTTGGTAGTGAGCATAGAGAGAGGTGTACAGATTTCAGATGCCTTTTAGTGAGACTCAGTAAGACTCGCTATTGTGCTGGATGTTGAGGGAGATGTCAAGGAAGACCTCAGCAGATATTTGGTATATGTCAGGGTGGATGTGGGTGACATTTATGGAATTGGGAAAGGCAGATCAAGGGTTCAGTTTTAGGCATAATAATTTTGGATGCCAAGAGACATCCATAAGGGGTTACAAGGCTGGAGCTCAGGAGGAAGGTATAGGCTAGAGATTCAATGTTAAGGATCATCAGCACAAAGCCCTTAGAATGGACGAGATTGCCTGGAAAAACAGCATAGAAAGAGAAGAAGAGAGGGCCAGCTACTCGGGAGACTGAGGCAGGAGAACTGCTTGAACCTGGGAGGTCAAGAAGGGAACAGAGACATGCAAAGGTGAAGGAGCTGCCTGATGTGTAAAAGAAAAACTAGGAGAATGTGGTTTCATGGAAGCCAAGAACAGATCTTTCACAAAGGAGGAGTCGTCGTCTGTGTCAAAAGTTGCTGAGTGATTATCTAAGATAAGGCCTGGAAAGGAGAATTGAATAAAGCAATGTAGAAGCCATTGGTTACCTTCCCAAGAGCACTTTCAGTTATGTGGTGGAAGTGGGAGCCAGATGAGAGGGTTCGAAGAGGAAATAGGCACACAGTACTCAAAAATAAATCACAGGTGGATTCAGGACTTATTTACAAATAAATGGAAGAATGTTTTCATGATTTTAGAGTAAGAAACAACTTCTGAATACATAAGAAAAGGACAAATCATAAAGCTAAGACTGATGAATTTGCCTACTTTTATATTAAGAATTTTGGTTTCTATTCAGTAGCACAATAGGGTGACTATAGTTAACAATAATTTGGCTGGGTGTGGTGACTCATGTGTAATCTCAGCACTTTGGGAGGCCGAGGTGGGCAGATCACTTGAGGTCAGGAGTTCGAGACGAGCCTGGCCCACCTGGGGAAACCTCATCTCTACAAAAACTGCAAAAATTACCTGGGCATGGTGGCATGCACCTGTAGTCCCAGCTACTTGGGAGACTGAGGCAGGAGGATCACTTGAGCCCAGGAGGTGGTGGTTGCAGTGAGCTGAGATCATGCTACTGCACTCCAGCCTGGATGACAGAGTGAGACCCTGTCTCAAAATAATAATAATAATAATAACTTCTCTATATTTAAAAATAACTAAAAGAGTAAAATTGGAATATTCCTAACACAAAGAAATGAAAAATGTTTGAGGAGATAGATACCCCAATTACTTCGATTTGATCCTTACATGTCGTACGCCTGCATCAAAATATCACATGTACCCCATAAATATATACAACTATTATGTACCCATAGTAATTAAAACTTTAAAAATAAAATTTTAAAGAAAGAATTTCTTTTTTATAAAGAAAGTGAAACACACAAGTTGATAATATGTATATTGGTGATCCTGCTATTCTACATCTCAGGATGGAAAGAAAATCTTGCCTGTATTCCTTGGAGACATGTATAAGGACGTTCATAGTAAATTGCTTAGAATGGCAAAAATGTAGAAAGAGTTCAAGTGACCAATCTCGAGAATTGATATGTAAATTGTGGTATAATTATTGAACCAAATGTTACGCAACAACACAACATGTAATTAAAGTAAATGAACCACATGGCTGCCTCTTACACATATAACATTGAACAAAAAATTCAATGTGCAGAAGATTACATGCTGTGTGTTCAGTTCCATAGAGTCCAAGAATATTATTTTAAAATATGACCATAAATATCCAAAGAGAAAGCTAAAAAAATGGAAAGTATTTGCCCTTGGTCAGCAGACTTGGACTTAGAGAGTAAGTAAGGGGACTATATTTTCAATAAATACTTTGTAGTAATATTTGAATTTTAAAAAATATATACATGGATTTTTAAAATACAAATGTGTGTATATATATGTATATATATATGTGTGTATATATATGTATATATATATGTGTGTGTGTGTGTATATATATATTTTGATTGTTTGTTTGAGGCAGGGTCTCACTGTTGCCCAGACTGGAGTGCAGTGGTACCATCACAGCTCACTGCAGACTCAAACTCCTGGGCTCAAGTTATCCTGCCTCAGACTTCCTTGTAGCTGGGATTATTGGTATGTACCACCACACTCGGCTAATTGTTAATGTTTTTGTAGAGATGGGGTCTTACTCTGTTGCCCAGGCTGGTCTTGAACTCAGCCTCAAGTGATCCTCCTCCTCAGCCTCCCGAAGTGTTGGGATTACAGGCGTGAGCCACTGTGCTTGGCCAGAAATAATTTTAAAAGTGAAGGGAGGTGAGGAAATGGAGGCTACATGAGGGACAGCTCTGAACAACTTTTAAAAATTTTAGATGACAATAATGAATTTTAAACATTTTTATTTAGAAACCAAGAATACATATAAAAGGGATTCAACCACAAAGGTCAAATAGATTTTTACAGTAAATCAGAATATTTTCAACGGGGGATGTTCTGATGACAAGATGTGGTTCCAGGATCTCCCCCAAATTCCTGGGCAAGCAACCTGTTTGCTCCTTTTTGCAGAGAGGGATACCCATGTGACAAAGTTTGGGAACTAATGACTTAGGCTATGGTGGGTGTGAGACTCACAAAGAAACCAAGCAGAGAATAGGAACCACATTTTTGGACTCCAAAGCATGTGATTTTTCTACCTTCCCACATAACATCTAACTCTTAAAGATTGCTCATTTCTGTGTTAGAATGTTCTATTAAAGCTACACTGTAAATGGTGTATACAATAATCAGGTATTTATTTTATCTAACAGACAATGGTGAATATGGCTCCGGAATTCTGACTATAAATAGAATCTTATTAAAGCCCGTGGCAATCTCTGCTCACCATTTGGCTGGTGGACTACTCCACTATTTTAGTCCTTTCTTTTGGTAAAATGCAGAGCTGTATAAATTGGACTGAAAATTGTACTAATTCTGGATTCTGTTTAGGGAAATACATTTGCATCTATATCATCCTTTCTGTTTGACAGATGAGTAAAAGGAGTCACAGAGGTGTTGCTTGCTCGAGATCCTAAAACTCACAAGCAGAAGCTGCTAGTTTCCTATTCTGTCAGAGTAAATGGTGCTACTATTTTTGGTTCAGTGTTCTTTTCCATTTCTGGTTATCGTGATCAGAGAGAGACAAATTCTACTTTGTTTCTAAGATACTCTCTGATCTCTTTCAGGCAACTCGCAAGCCACATATTGTCACAGGAACTCCCACATAGTAGGTTCCTTTGGTGGTGGTGACAGGTGGGGGGATTATATGATAAGGCCCCATGTAACAAAATAAATATAAAATATTACTCCAGACTCTGTGTGAGAAAATACAATGAAATCTGTGGACTTAACCCTTCTTTAATAACTTGTCAAAATCTGTTATCTCCTCAATGCTCTGCCCTTTGAAAAGAACCAGAGGGGAACGAATCTCATGGTAATGAGTAACATTCATTGAAAAAGCATTTAAAGGGTGTTTAAAGGGATAAAGATTATCTGAAGCATTTAGAAAAAACTAAAAATTCCATCTATATGCTAAAAAGGGTAATATGAAAATAGAGTCTAATAACAAAGTAGTAATCAGATTAGGGAGGAATTTGCCATTGACAGGAAATAAGAGACTTGGAGCTGGTGCTATTGCCATCCTAGGAAGGGGTTGGGTTTCACGGGTACAAAGGAGGTGCACGAAACCCCTGCAGTGACTCAGAAGACAAAAAGCAATTTGGGAGACAGTTATAGATAGATCCAGAGTTTTACATTGTATTTTTCAACTGAAGGGGAGTATTTTATAATGCAGGGAATATGCGTAGAATGTTACCAATTTACTCTTCTCCGCATCACCTACCACTGATCTGTTACTAACTATCCCTAAGTGCGAATAAAAGAAAATGAGCAATAAACAGGATCTTCAGAATAGGATCTATCTTCACTTTATAAGTGCTTGAATTCAGCATGCTCTTTTATGCATCCCCATCTTCATCCAGCCATCTCCTCTGCCGCCAACATCCATCCTTTATCCTTCTCCAACTGGCCGACTCTTATTTGTCTTGCAAAAGTCAGCCATGACACTTTCTCCCTGAAACTTTCTTGAATAGTCAGGCTTTTCCTGTCAGTGCTTTTTTTTTTTTGGCACCTTTTGTCCTATTTTCAGGGTCACTGTATTGCCATTGATCATGTAAGTGTCTGAGTGTTCCCTAGACTGTGAACCCCTTGAGGGCAGGGGCTGTTCTTCATCTATTTTCCCAGAGCCTCCACCCAAACATGTTTCAATATTAATATCTGCCAGTGGAGTCAACAGTGTCTGGAAGAGGAAGACTCAGGACATGCCTCTGTGAATGTGCCAAGGATTTACAAACACACCCTGGTCAACCTCATCATGAAAATTTAAGTAAGCAAAAGATTTCCCAGCTTGTGCTGGTACCTTACCAATTTTGAGAACACCCTCATTGTGGTTCATTGCATTTCAGCATAGACAAAAGACCTTAGAAACTGGGATAATTTGTTGCCAGGAAATTTTATTTCAATGAAAAGAAATGAGTCCAGAGTCGCTAAGGTACTGCCCTGCATTGCAACCCTTCCTACGCTGTTACCCCACTTTGCATCCATCCTTGCTGCTCCACTTCCTCATCTCTCCTCACACCATTGTTATCCTTTCTTCTGTTGTTCAACTCTCTCCAGCCATGGCCTCCACAGTAGGCTCTGGAATCACTGTTGGGGTCTCTAGATAGTCAAGGTGGCTTCCTTACCCTTGCTGATACTCCAGTGAAATTGTCGTCTGTGGACACCTCCTGCACAGCACCTTTTGCAACATTTCTATCTGGGAGAGACTTTTGCTGTCTCTTCCTTTGATTGGCGATGCCAAGCAGTTGCACAGTATCCCAGTGGTGCACTGGGGGATTGTATTATAGCTTGGAGGTTAAGTGTAAGGTCTCCAGTTAGACTGTCTTTATTTAAATCTACTACTTCCATTCACTAGCTGTGATACCTTGGATAAGCTAATTGTCTTAGATAGAGTTGCTATCTAAGTGGCTTGAACTTAGCTGCTACCTAAGTGGGTGGCTTGAACAATAGATATTTATTTAGCACAGTTCTGGCGTCTGGAAGTCCAATATCAAGGTGCCAGTTGATTTAGTTCCTGGTGCGAGATCTCTTTCTGGCTTGTGGACAGCTGTCCTGTCAATGTATCCTCACATGGCAGAGAGAGATCATCTGTCTTGTGTCTCTTTTTCTTCTTTTTTTTTAAGTTATACTTTAAGTTCTGGGATACATGTGCAGAACATGCAGGTTTGTTACATAGGTATGCATGTGCCATGGTGGTTTGCTGCACCCATCAACCCGTCATCTACATTAGGTATTTCTCCTAATGCTATCCCTCCCCTTGCCCCCCCACCCCTCAACAGGCCCCAGTGTGTGACGTTCCCCTCCCTGTGTCCACATGTTCTTGTTGTTCAACTCCCCCTTATGAGGGAGAACATGCGGTGTTTGGTTTTCTGTTCTTGTGTTAGTTTGCTGAGAATGATGGTTTCCAGCCTCATCCATGTCGCTGCAAAGGACATGAACTCATTATTTTTTATGGCTGCATAGTTTTCCATGGTGTATATGTGCCACATTTTCTTTATCCAGTCTATCACTAATGGGCATTTGGGTTGGTTCCAAGTCTTTGCTATTGTGAATAGTACTGCAATAAACATAACGTGTGCATGTGTCTTTATAGTAGAATGATTTATAATCCTTTGGGTATATACCCAGTACTGGGATTGCTGGGTCAAATGGTATTTCTGGTTCTAGATCCTTGAGGAATCGCCACACTGTCTTCCACAATGGTTGAACTAATTTACACTCCCACCAACAGTGTAAAAGTGTTCCTATTTCTCTACATCCTCTCCAGCATCTGTTGTTTCCTGACTTTTTAATGATCACCATTCTAACTGGCATGAAATGGTATCTCATTGTCGTTCTGATCTGCATTTCTCTAATGACCAGTGACGATGAGCTCTTTTTCGTATGTTTGTTGGTTGCATAAATGTCTTCTTTTGAGAAGTGTCTCTTCATATCCTTCACCCACTTTTTGATGGGGTTGTTTGTTTTTTGCTTGTAAATTTGTTTAAGTTCCTTGTAGATTCAGGATATTAGACTTTTGTCAGATGGATAGATTGCAAAAATTTTCTCCCATTCTGTAGGTTGCCTGTTCACTCTGACGATAGTCTCTTTTGCTGTGCAGAAGCTCTTTAGTTTAATTAGATCCCATTTGTCAATTTTGGCTTTTGCTGCAATTGCTTTTGGTGTTTTAGTCATGAAGTCTTTGGCCATGCCTATTTCCTGAATGGTATTGCCTAGGTTTTCTTCTAGGGTTTTTATGGTTTTAGGTCTTACGTTTAAGTCTTTAATCCATCTTGAGTTAATTTTTGTATAAGGTGTAAGAAAGGGGTCCAGTTTCAATTTTCTGCATATGGCTAGCCAGTTTTCCCAACATCATTTATTAAATAGGGAATCCTTTCCCCATTGCTTGTTTTTGTTAGGTTTGTCAAAGATCAGATGGTTGTAGATGTGTGGTGTTATTTCTGAGGCCTCTGTTCTGTTCCGCTGGTCTATATATCTGTTTTTGTACCAGTACCATGCTGTTTTGGTTACTCTATCCTTGTAATATAGTTTGAAGTCAGGTAGCATGATGCCTCCAGCTTTGTTTCTTTTGCTTAGGATTGTCTCAGCTATATGGGCTCTTTTTTGGTTCCATATGAAATTTAAAGTAGTTTTTTCTAATTCTGTGAAGAAAGTCAATGGTAGCTTGATGGGAATAGCATTGAATCTATAAATTACTTTGGGCAGTATGGCTATTTTCATTATATTGATTCTTCCTATTCATGAGCATGGAATGTTTTTCCATTTGTTTGTGTCTTCTCTTACTTCCTTGAGCAGTGGTTTGTAGTTCTTGAAGAGGTCCGTCACATCCCTTGTAAGTTGTATTCCTAGATATTCTATTCTCTTGGTAGCAATTGTGAATGGGAGTTCACTCATGATTTGGCTGTTTGTCTATTATTGGTGTATAGGAATGCTTGTGATTTTTGCATATTGATTTTGTATCCTGAGAGTTTGCTGAAGTTGCTTATCAGCTTAAGGAGTTTTTGGGCTAAGACAATGGGGTTTTCTAAATATACAATCATGTCTTCTGCAAACAGAGGCAATTTGACTTCCTCTCTTCCTATTTGAATACCCTTTATTTCTTTCTCTTGCCTGATTGCCCTGGCCAGAACTTCCAGTACTACGTGCAATAGGAGTGGTGAGAGAGAACATCCTTGTCTTGTGCCGGTTTTCAAAGGGAATGCTTCCACCTTTTGCCCATTCACTATGATATTGGCTGTGGGTTTGTCATAAATAACTCTTATGATTTTGAGATATGTTCCATCAATACCTAGTTTATTGAGTGCTTTTAGCATGAAGGGGTGTTGAATTTTATTGAAGGCCTTTTCTGCATCTATTGAGATAATCATGTGGTTTTTGTCATTGGTTCTGTTTAAGTGATGGATTACGTTTATTAATTTGCGTATGTTGAACCAGCCTTGCATCCCAGGGATGAAGCCAACTTGATTGTGGTGGATAAGCTTTTTTATGTGCTGCTGGATTTGGTTTGCCAGTATTTTATTGAGGATTTTCACATTAATGTTCATCAGGGATATTGGCCTGAAATTTTCTTTTTTTGTTGTGTCTCTGCCAGGTTTTGGTATCAGGATGATGCTGGCCCCATAAAATGAGTGAGGGAGGAATCCCTCTTTTTGTATTTATTGGAATAGTTTCAGAAGGAATGGTACCAGCTCCTCTTTGTACCTCTGGTAGAATTCGGCTGTGAATCCATCTGGACCTGGCTTTTTTTGATTGGTAAGCTATTAATTACTGCCTCAATTTCAGAACTTGTTACTGGTCTATTCAGGGATTCAACTACTTCCTGGTTCAGTCTTGGGAAAGCATATGTGTCCAGGAATTTATTCATTTCTTCTAAATTTTCTGGTTTATTTGTGTAGAGGTGTTTATAATATTCTCTGATGGTAGTTTGTATTTCTGTGGGATCAGCGGTGATATCCCCTTTATCTTTTTTTATTGTGTCTATTTGGTTCTTCTCTCTTTTCTTTATTAGTCTGGCTAGTGGACTATCTGTTTTGTTAATCTTTTCAAAAAACCAGCTCCTGGATTCACTGATTTTTTTTGAAGGGTTTTTTGCGTCTCTGTCTCCTTCAGTTCTGTTCTGACCTTAGTTACTTCTTGTCTTCTGCTAGCTTTTGAATTTGTTTGCTCTTGCTTCTCTAGTTCTTTTAATTGTAATGTTAAGGTGTCGATTTTAGATATTTCCCACTTTCTCCTGTGGGCATTTAGTGCTATAAATTTCCCTCTAAACACTGCTTTAGCTGTGTCCCAGAGATTCTGGTACATTGTGTCTTTATTCTCATTGGTTTCAAAGAACTTACTTATTTCTACCTTAATTTCGTTATTTACCCATTCAGGAGCAGGTTGTTCGGGTTCCATGTAGTTGTGCAGTTTTGAGTGAGTTTCTCTTTTTTTTCTTTTTTCTTTTCTTTTTTTTTTTTTAGATGGAATCTCACTCTGTCTCCAGGCTGGAGAGCAATGGCATGATCATGACTCACTGCAACCTCAGCCTCCTAGGTTCAAGCAATTCTCCTGCCTCAGCCTCCCAAGTAGCTGTGACTACAGGCATGTGCCACCATGCCAAGCTAATTTTTTTTTTTTTGTATTTTTGGTAGAGACAGGGTTTCACCATACTGGCCAGGATGGTCTTGATCTCTTGACCTCGTGATCCACCTGCCTCAGCCTCCCAAAGTTCTAGGATTCCAGGCGTGAGCTGTCACACCCAGCTTCAGTGAGTTTCTTAATTCTGAGTTCTAATTTAATTGCACTGTGGTCTGAGAGACTGTTATGATTTCCGTTCCTTTACATTTGCTGAGGAGTGTTTTATTTCCAATTATGGTCAATTTTAGAATAAGTGCTATGTGGTGCTGTGAAGAATGTATATTCTGCTGATTTGGGGTGAAGAGTTCTGTAGATGTCTATTAGGTCCACTTGGTCCAGAGCTGAGTTCAAGTCCTGAATATCCTTTTTAATTTCCTGTCTCATTGATCTAATATTGACAGTGGGGTGTTAAAGTCTCCCACTATTATTGCGTGGGAGTCTAGTCTCTTTGTAGGTCTTGAAGAGCTTGCTTTATGAATCTAGCTGCTCCTATATTGGGTGCATGTGTATTTAGGATAGTTAGCTCTTCTTGTTGCATGGATCCCTTTACCATTATGTAATGCCCTTCTTTGTCTTTTTTGATCTTTGTTGATTTAAAGTCTATTTTACCAGAAACTAGGATTTCAACTCCTACTTTTTTTTTGCTTTCCATTTGCTTGATAAATATTCCTCCATCCCTTTATTTTGAGCCTATGTGCATCTTTGCATGTGAGATGGGTCTCCTGAATACAGCACACTGATGGGTCTTGACTCTTTATCCAATTTGCCAGTCTGTGCCTTTTAACTGGGGGCATTTAGCCCATTTACATTTAAGGTTAATATTGTTATGTGTAAATTTGATCCTATCATCATGATGCTAGCTGGTTATTTTGCACATTAGTTGATGTAGTTTCTTTGTAGTGTCATTGGTCTTTATATTTTGGTATGTTTTTGCAGTGGCTGGTAGCAGTTTTTCCTTTCCATATTTAGTACTTCCTTCAGGAGCTCTTGGAAGGCTGGCCTGGTGGTGACAAAATCCCTCAGCATTTGCTTGTCTGTAAAGGATTTTATTTCTCCTTTGCTTATGAAGCTTAGTTTGGCTGGAAATGAAATTCTGGGTTGAAAATTCTTTTCTTTAAGAATGTTGAATATTGGCCCCCACTCTCTTCTGGCTTGTTGGGTTTCTTCAGAGAGATCCGCTGTTAATCTGATGGGCTCCCCTTTCTGGGTAACCCGACCTTTCTCTCTGGCTGCCCTTAACATTTTTTCCTTCATTTCAACTTTGGTGAATCTGACAATTATGTGTCTTGGAGTTGCTCTTCTCGAGGAGTATCTTTGTGGCATTCTCTGTGTTTCCTGAATCTGAATGTTGGCCTGCCTTGCTAGATCGGGGAAGTTCTCCTGGATAATATCCTGAAGTATATTTTCCAACTTGGTTCCATTCTTCCTGTCACTTTCAGGTACACCAATCAATCACAGGTTTGGTCTTTTCACATAGTCCCATATTTCTTGGAGGCTTTGTTCATTCCTTTTCATTCTTTTTTCTCTAATCCTGTCTTCGTGCTTTATTTCATTAAGTTGATCTTCAATCTCTGATATCCTTTCTTCTGCTTGATCGATTTGGCTATTGATACTTGTATATGCTTCACGAAGTTCTCATGCTGTGTTTTTCAGTTCCATCAGGTCATTTATGTTCTTCTCTAAACTGGTTATTCTAGTTAGCAGTTTCTGTAACCTTTTATCAAGGTTCTTAGCTTCCTTGCGTTGACTTAGAACATGCTTCTTTAGCTCAGAGGAGTTTGTTATTACCTACCTTCTGAAGCCTACTTCTGTCAATTTGTCAAACTTATTCTCCATCCAGTTTTGTTCCCTTGCTGGTGAGGAGTTGTGATCCTTTGGAGGAGAAGAGGCATTCTGGCTTTTGGAATTTTCAGCATTTTTGTGCTGATTTTTCCTCATCTTCATGGATTTATCTACCTTTGATCTTTGATGCTGAGGACCTTTGGACTGGGTTTTTGTGTGGACGTCCTTTTTGTTGATGTTGATGTTATTGCTTTCTATTCATTAGTTTTCCTTCTAACAGTCAGGCCCCTCTTTTGCAGGTCTGCTGGAGTTTGCTGGAGGTCCATTCCAGACTCTGTTTGCCTGGGTATCAGCAGCAGAGGCTGCAGAACAGCAAAGATTGCTGCCTGCTCCTTCCTCTGGAAGCTTTGTCCCAGAGGGGCACCTGCCAGATAGATGCCAGCCGGAGCTCTGCTGTATGAGGTATCTGTTGACCCCTGCTGGGGTGTCTCCCAGTCAGGAGGCACAGGGGTCAGGGACCCACTTGAGGAGGCAGTCTGCCCCTTAGCAGAGCTCAAGCACTGTGCTGAAAGATCTGCTGCTCTCTTCAGAGCTGGCAGGCAGGAATGTTTAAGTCTGCTGAAGCTGCACCCACAGTCACCCCTTCTCCCAGGTGCTCTGTCCCAGGGAGTTGGGAGTTTTATCTATAAGCCCCTGACTGGGGCTGCTGCCTTTCTTTCAGAGGAGGAATCTAGAAAGGCAGTCTGGCTACAGTGGCTTTGCTGCGTTGCAGTAGGTTCCACACCCAGTCTGACCTTCCCAGTGGCTTTGTTTACACTGTGAAGGGAAAACCACCTACTCAAGCCTCAGTAATGGCAGATGCCCATCCCACCAAGCTCGAGTGTCCCAAGTCAACTTCAGATTCTGTGCTGGCAGCAAGAATTTCCAGCCAGTAGATCTTAGCTTGCTGGGCTCTGTGGGGGTGGGACCCATTGAGCAAGACCACTTGGCTCCCTGGCTTCAGCCCCCTTTCAGGAGAGTGAACAGTTCTGTCTCGCTGGGGTTCCAGGCACCACTGGAGTCTGGGAAAACAAACAAACAAACCCAAAAACTCCTGCAGCTTGCTCAGTGTCTGCTCAGGTGGCTGCCCAGTTTTGTGCTTGAAACCCAGGGCCCTGGTGGTGTAGGCATCCAAGGGAGTCTCCTGGTCTCAGTTGGAAATGCAGAAATCACCCTTCTTTTGCATTGGTCTCAGTGGGAGCTGTAGACTGAAGCTGTTCCTATTTGGCCATCTCCCAGAATCTCGTGTCTCTTCTTATAAAGGCACTAATCAGATGCATGAGGGCCTCCATCTTCATGACCTAATCATTTCCCAAAGGCCCCACCTCCAAATATCATCACATGTGAGTTTATGGCTTCCAATATCACCCTAATACCAAACCCAGGAAAGGACATAACCAAAAAATAAAACTACAGACCTACAGACCAATATCCCAGATGAATATAGATGCAAAAATCCTTAACAAAATACTAGCTAACCAAATCCAACAACATATCATCAAAAAGATAATCCGCCATTATCAAGTGAATTTCATACCAGGGATGCAGGGAAGGTTTAACTTATGCAAGTCAATAAATGTGATATACCACATAAACGAAATTAAAAAAAATCACATGATCATCTCAATAGGTCCAAATGCATTTGACAAAATCCAGCGTCCCTTTATGATTATAACTCTCAGCAAAATTGGCATAAAAGGGACATACTTCAATGTAATAAAAGCCATCTATGACAAACCCACAGCCAGCATAATATTAAATGGAGAAAAGTTGAAAGCATTCCCTCTGAGAACTGGAACAAGACAAGATGCCCACTCTCCCACTCTCACCACTTCTTTTCAACATAGTACTGGAAGTCCTAGCCAGAGCAATCAGACAAGAGAAAGAAATAAAGGGCATCCAAATTGGTAAAGAGGAAGTCAAACTGTTGCTGTTTGCTGATGATATGATAGTATACATAAAAAACCCCAAAGACTCCTCCAAAAAACTCCTAGAACTGATAAAACAATTCAGCAAAGTTTCCAAATAAAAATTAATGTACACAAATTAGTAGCTCTCCTATACACCAACAGTGACCAGATTGAGAATCAAATCAAGAACTCAACCCCTTTTATAATAGCTGCAAAAATACATAAAATACTTAGGAATATACCTAACCAAAGAGGTGAAAGACCTCTACAAGGAAAAAACTACAAAACACTGCTGAAAGAAATCATAGATGACACAAACAAATGGAAACACATCCCATGCTGATGGATTTGTAGAATCAATATTGTGAAAATGACCATACTGCCAAAAGCAATCTACAAATTTAATGCAATTCTCATCAAAATATCATCATCATTCTCAGAACTAGAAGAAACAATCCTAAAATTCACATGGAACCAAAAAAGAGCCCACATAGCCAAAGCAAGACTAAGCAAAAAGAACAAATCTGGAAGCATCATATTACCTGATTTCAAACTATACTATAAGGCCATAGTCACTGAAACAGCATGGTACTGGTATAAAAATGGGACATAGACCAATGGAACAGAATAGAGAACCCAGAAATAAACCCAAATACTTACAGCCAACTGATCTTTGAAAAAGCAAACAAAAACATAAAATGGGGGAAGGACACCCTATTCAACAAATGGTGTTGGGATCATTGGCAAGCCACATGTAAGAGAATGAAACTGGATCCTCATCTCTCACCTTTTACAAAAATCAACTCAAGATGGATTAAGGACTTAAACCTAAGACCTGAAACTGTAAAAATTCTGAAAGATAACATCGGAAAAACCCTTCTAGACATTGGCTTAGGCAAGGATTTCATGACCAAGAACCCAAAAGCAAATGCAACAATAACAAAGACAAATAGCTGGGACTTAATTAAACTGAAGAGCTTTTGCATGGCAAAAGGAAAAGTCAGCGGAGTAAGCAGACAACCTACAGAGTGGGAGAAAATCTTCACAATCTATACATCTGACAAAGGACTAATATCCAGGATCTACAATGAACTTAGACAAATCCACAAGAAAAAGAGCAAACAATACCATCAAAAAGTGGGCTAAGGACATGAATAGACAATTCTCAAAAGAAGATATACAAATGGCCAACAAACATAAAAAAATGTTCAACATCACTAATGATCAAGGAAATGCAAATCAAAACCACAATGCAATACCACCTTATTCCTGCAAGAATGGCCATAATCAAAAAATCAAAAAATAATAGATGTTGGCATAGATATGGTGAACAGGGAACAGTTCTCTACTGCTGGTGGGAATGTAAACTAGTACAACCGCTGTGGAAAATAGTGTGGAGATTCCTTTAAAAACTAAAAGTATGTCTATCATTTGATCCAGAAATCCCACTCCTGGGTATCTACCCAGAGGAAAATAAGTCATTACACGAAAAAGATACTTGCACACTCAAGTTTATAGCAGCACAATTCACAATTGCAAAAATGTGGAACCAAACCAAATGCCCATCAATCAAGGAGTGGATAAAGAAACTGTGACACATGATGGATATATTAGTCTGTTTTCACACTGCTGATAAAGACATACCTGAGACTGGAAAGAAAAAGAGGTTTAATCGGACTTACAGTTCCACATGGCTGGGGAGGCCTCAGAATCATGGTGGGAGGCAAAAGGCACTTCTTATGTGGTGACAGCAAGAGAAAATGAGGAAGATGCAAAAGCAGAAACCTCTGATAAAACCATCAGATCTCATGAGGCTTATTCACTACCATAAGAACAGTATGGGGGAAACTGCCCCCATGATTCAAATTATCTCCCACTGGGTCCCTCCCACAACACTTGGGAATTACGGGAGTACAGTTCAAGATAACATTTGGGTGGAGATACAGCCAAACCATATCATTCAACCCCTGACCTCCAAATCTCATGTCCTCACATTTCAAAACCAATCATGCCTTCCCAATAGTCCCCCAAAGTCCCAACCAATTTCAGCATTAACCCAAAAGTCCACAGTCCAAAGTCTCATCTGAGACAAGCCAAGTCCTTTCTGACTATGAGCCTGTAAAATCAAAAGCAAGCTAGTTACTTCCTAGATACAACGGGAGTACAGGTATTTGGTAAATACAGCCATTCCAAATGGGAGAAATTTGCCAAAACAAAGGGGTTACAAGGCCCATGCAAGTCCAAAATCCAGTGGGGCAGTCAAATTTTAAAGCTCCAAAATGATCTCCTTTTACTCCAGGTCTCACATCTAGGTCACGCTGATACAAGAGATGGGTTCCCATGGTCTTAGGCAGCTCCACCCCTGTGGCTTTGCAAAGTACAACCTCCCTCCCAGCTGCTTTCACAGGATGACATTGAATGTCTGCAGCTTCTCCAGGTGAATGGTGCAAGCTGTCGGTGGAGATACCATTCTGGGGTCTGGATGATGGTGGCCCTCTTCTCACAGCTCCACTGGCCAGTGCTCCAGCATGAACTCTGTGTGTGGGCTCCAACCCACACTTCCCTTCTGCACTGCCCTAGCAGAGGTTCTCCATGAGTGCCCCACCCCTGTAGCAAACTTCTGCCTGGACATCCAGAGGTTTCCATACATTTTCTGAAATCTATGTGGAGGTTCCCAAACTCCAGTTCTCGACTTCTGTGCACTCACAGGCTCAACATGTGGGAGCTGCCAAGGTTTAGGGCTTGCACCCTCTGAAGCCACGGCCAAAGCTCTGCATCGGCCCCTTTCAGCCAAGGCTGGAGCAATTGGGATGCAAGGCACCAAGTCCTTAGGCTGCACACAGCACAGGGACCCTGGGCCCAGCCCACAAAACCATTTTCTCCTAGGCCTCTGGGCCTGTGACTGAATGGGCTTCTGTGAAGACCTCTGACATGTCCTGGAGATATTTTCCCCCATTGTCTTGGGGATTAACATTTGGCTCCTTGTTACTTATGCAAATTTCTGCAACTGGCTTGAATTTCTCCTAAGAAAATGGGGTTTTCTTTTCAATCACATTGTCAGGCTGCAAAATTTCTGAACTTTTATGCTCTGCTTCTGTTATGACATTGAATACCTTTAACAGTATCCAACTCACCTCTTGAATGCCTTGCTGCTTAGAAATTTCTTCTGCCAGATACTGTAAATCATCTCTCTCAAGTTCAAAGCTCCACAAGTCTCCAGGGCAGGGGAAAAATGCTGCCAGTCTCTTTGCTAAAACATAACAAGAGTCGTCTTTGCTCCAGTTCCCAACAAGTTCCTCATCTCCATCTGAGACCACCTCAGCCTGGACCTTATTGTCCATATCACTATCAGGCTTTTGGCAAAAGCCATTCAACAAGTCTCTAGGAAGTTCCAAACTTCCCCACATTTTCCTGTCTTCTTCTGAGCCCTCCAAACTGTTTCAACCTCTGCCTGTTACCCAGTTCCAAAGTCACTTCCACATTTTCAGGTATCTTTTCAATAGCACCCTGCTCCTGGTATCAATTTACTGTATTAGCCCATTTTCATGCTGCTGATAAAGACATATCTGAGACTGGGAAGAAAAAGAGGTTTAGTTGGACTTACAGTTCCACATGACTGGGGAGGCCTCAGAATCATGGTGGGATGCAAAAGGCACTTCTTACATAGTGGTGGCAAGAAAAAGTGAGAAAGATGCAAAATCAGAAACCCCTGATAAAACCATCAGATCTCATGAGACTTATTCACTATCACAAGAACAGTATGGGAGAAACTGCCCCCGTGATTCAAATGATCTCCCACTGAGTCCCTCCCACAACACATGGGAATTATGGGAGTACAATTCAAGACGAGATTTGGTTGGGGACACAGCCAAAACATATCAATGGAATACTACTCTGCCATAAAAAGGGAAGAATTAATGGCATTTGCAGTAACCTAGATGAGATTGGAGACTGAGAGTTATTTCTAAGTGAAGTAACTCAGGAATGGAAAACCAAACATCGTATGTTCTCATTCATAAGTGGGAGCTAAGCTGTGAGGATGCAAAGGCATAAGAATGACATAATGGACTTTGGGGAATCAGGGGAAAATTGTTGGGAGGGGGTGAGGGATAAAGGACTACAAATTGGGTGCAGTGTATACTGCTTCGGTTATGAGTGCACCAAAAACTCACAAATCCCCACTAAAGAACTTACTCATGTATCCAAACACCACCTGTTCCCCCAAAAACCTAGGGAAATAATTTTTTTTAAAAAAGAGATTAGGGCTTCAGCATATACATTGGGGGCAGGACAGGGGGACAGAAACATTCAGTCCATATCACTGCTTCTTTTTCTTCAGTTTCCTTACCAGTAAAAATTGGTAAAATGATAATAATAGCACTTATTATATAGAATTTTTAAAGAGAGGATTAAGTATATCAATATGTTTCTAAAGCTCTTGAAATAGTCTCTGGCACATAGGAAGCACTATTTAATTTCTTGATCTTGTTGAAGATTTCAAGGTTTGCCAAAGAATAAGAATTATGTGAGAGGGGAGCCATATAAGTTCTGGCCAGGAAAATGCTAGAAAAACATCATACAGTACACATTTGATATTTTGCCATTGGGCAAATCCAGGCTACATTAAAGGAAGCAATTGATTGAGTTTTGATGCCTATTCCCCCACTTTTGCTGCCTTTTCTATTTGGGTGACAAGATAAGTCCTCTTCTTCAGATATCTCTGCATCCCAGCCTCTTCATCTCAAGGATCTTGATCATTATCCCCCATTAGCTAATGTACAGCTGTGAGACACAGTAAGTGGAACCTCCATTATTTTTCAAATGGGAAAACATGAAGCACTAAAATATATAAGACCTGGTACATGCACTTTTGCCTTCACTTGTTTAAATCCTTCTAGGTCCAGTCTTTCTTGTCAAATCTTCATTAATCATGGTAGTCCACATTAATTTCTCCTTTTTCTAAAACCTATAACACATTCATCACTCAATTATGTACTTTATATAATTATATTCTTGATATTCTGGTTCTCTGTTTCATGCATATTAGTTATATTTCAGCAAGGATATTGAACACTTACTAAGGCTTGGAACTATATCTTGCACAGTTATTTCCATTCCTCTTCTAAAACACCTGATGTTGAGCTCTGAGAGACAGGTCTTAGGGATACGGAAGGTAACGAGTGGAAGAAAATTCAGCAGTCTGTGGCACTCTCAAAAGTAGTTGGGAGCCTTTTCCTGGGGTGCAATATCAACTAAGCACATGCAGCTTCAACAGCTCTGGGCCCTGGTAAATTTTAGCATGGGAGTTTATAGTGAGCCCACCACGATAATACTGTTCCTTCCAAACTGAGCAGACCTGTCCTTTGATGAATCTTTGTCCTGATAATCATTGCCAATCTGTGGCCAATAGAAATCTGTTTTCCCTCCCAAGAAATGTTTGGTGTTCCATGCTAAAGAATGCTTTATTGCCCTAGTTCGCTCTGGCTCCATAAAAGTTAGAGCTAAATCTTCCGAAAAGCTTGCACTGTTATATTTGAAACTATAGTATTAGTCTAATGAGCTTCAACGCAGTTGGAATTGGATATGAATGTAAGCAATGATGATTATATTTTATTTTCTAACTCCTGACTGGTCCAGCAGCATGCACCATTACCTACTCATTCACACTAATGATTCATAAATAATTTATTCGTATGGAATGTACTCTATTTGGCCAATTACAGTGATTCGTGGTAGATTGCACTTTGGTTTTACTTCATCTGACGGCATATGCTTGTTTTGCAATGTAGAGCGCAGATTCAGTTCCAAATTTCCTTTCCCACCATGGTCATAATGAACTGAAGCCCACCTTACATTTATGTTTCACATACCTTTTGCGTAACTCATTTTGCCTCGTTGACCTTCACTTCAACTTTCCCTTCCTATATGAAATTAGCATTTTTAGAACAGGTGATCTCTATATTTAATCACCTCTGCTCTTGATGTTGCCCTGAGACCATAGAGTGTAGGGATTAAAAATAAAATTTCAGGTGTTGGACACTGGTTGCAGATCATGGCTCCACTGCTACATGCCTTTGGTCAAGTCATTTATCCCCTTTAAGCTCATTTGCTTCATGTATAAAAAGTAGTAATATGTCCCTCATAGGGTCATTGTGAGGATTAAAGGAATTAAAACATTTCTAGTCCTCAGTGCAGTGCCTGGGACATACCAAATGCTTGGTAAATGTCAGTTATGATTATTCACTTTTCCTCTGGTCATTGGCAGCTCTTTCCTCTGTATCTGACGACTCCACCTGCTCCCTCGCCAAACTAGCATAGTGCTAGAACAAATGGAATGTTCATCCAAGACTCATGATTGATTGTTGGTGATGTTTGTGTCATAAATGATATTAGTCCACATTTGTGTCAAAAGGAGGAATTATAATTGCCTCCACATGCCCTATGCCCACTTTCTTAGGATGCTCTGCCCTTGGTTGGTAACCTTGCTAGGAAATTCCTTGACTTGGCATCAACTTGCCTTTGTAGCCAACCTATGATTCCTGCAATCTCAAGCAATGCTAGTCTTCCTCCTCCTAGAGGCCTCCCAGGGTTGTTCATCAACACAATGTCCCCACCTTTTTAAGGATTTCCAGCATCAGTGTTGTAGCAGAGTCTATTATTTGTCCCCTAACTCCTCCAGGAAGCCTACCAGGATTTATCAGAGGAGGTGCAGTTCCTCAACATTGTTCAGGAACTCATTGTCTTAATCATCAATTATTTAATGAGTGAATGGTAAACACATGAACATTTCCACCAATCCCTAAGCAACCACTAATCTGCTTTCTATCTCTATGGATTTGCCTCTTCTGGACACTTTATATAAATGGAATCATACAAGATATGGCTTTTTGTGTCTGACTTCTTTCACTTAGCATAATACTTTCAAGGTTCATCCATGTGGTAGGATTTACTAGAATTTCATTCCTTTTTATGGACAGATAATATTTCATTACATGCATATGCCACATTTTATTTATCTTCATTAGTTGATGGACATTTGGGTTGTTTCCATTTTTTGGATATTATGAAGAATGCTGCTACGGACATTCATGCAGAAGTTTTTGTGTACACCTTGGGATTTCCTAAGTATATATTTTTAACTTCTTATTATGGGAAATTTCAAGCATATCTGAAAATTGAGGAAATAGTATAACTATGGTGTATCTATCATCTAGCTTCAAGAATAATGATTAATTCATGTCCCACCTTATTTCACTTATAACCTACTCTTTTCTCATTGCTTCCAGATTATTTTATGGCAGATTCCTGACAGCATGTTGCTTTATCCATAAATATTTCAGGAATTATTTCTAAGGGTTTTTTCAAAACCTTTATTGAGATAAAATTAAGGTATCACAAAATCCATTGGTTCAAAGTGCACAATTCAATGGTTTTAATGTATTTTCATATTTCCCTAATGACTAATAATGTTGAGTATTTTTCCTGTGATTGTCAAATTTTTGTCTATCTTCTTTGGAGAAATGTCTACTCAGATTCTTTGCTGCCTATTTTTAAATTGAGTTATTTGTCTTTTTATTATTGAGTTGTAAGTGTTTTGAATATATTCCAGATATGCATCCCATATCAGATAACTGATGTGGAATTATTTTCTCCCATTCTGTGAGTTTTCTCACTTCTTGATGGTGTTTTCTGAGGTACAAAAGTTTTTAATTTTGATGATCTCATTCATCTATTTTTCTCTTGTTGCTTATGCTTTTGGTATTATATCTAAGCTAATGTTCCCTATCCCAAGGTCATGAAGATTTGTTTCTCATTTTCTTTTAAGAATTTTATGGTTTTTAGCTCTTTCACTTAGGTCTGTGGCCCATTTGTAGTTCATTTTTGTGTACAGTATGAGAAAAAGGCCCAACTTGATTTTTTGTATGTGGATATCCAATTGCCCTAGCACCATTTGTTAAAGGGACTATTCTTTGTCCACTGAAAAAGATCTTAGGACCCCTATCTAAAATCAGCTGATTAAGGGTTTGCTTCTGGACTCTCAATTCTATTCTATTGGTCTATACATCTATTATTATGCCAGTACAAGACTCTCTCGATTACTGTAGCTTTGCAATAAGCTACAGTTTTGAAATTGGAAAATGTGAGTCCGTTAACTTTGTTTTTCTTTTTCAAGATTGTTTTTGGCTATTTTCAGTGCCTTGCAATTCCAGAGGAATTTTAGAATCAGCTTGTCAATTTCTGCAAAGAAATCAAGTGGGATTTTGATAGGGATTATCTTGATTCCATAGATTAATTTGAGAAGCATTCCCACCCTAGCAATATTAATTATTCTTATCCATGAATGTAGGTCTTTTTTCTATTTATTTAGGTCTTTAATTTCTTTCAACAATGTTTTTGTAGTTTTCAGCATAAAAGTCTTGCGCTTCTTTTGTTAAATGAATTCTGAAGTATTTTATTCTTTTTGATGCAACTATACATGAAATTATTTTCTTAATTTTATTTTCAAATTGTTCATTGTTATTGTATAGTGATAGAATTGACTTTTATATATTGATCTTGTATCCCAAAACCTTGGTGAATTTGTTCATTAGTTTAGTTTTAATCTTACCACTTTACCTTGAACTCGATTTTGGAATTGATCATCTTGCACAAGTCTCTTCCAAGATCCTGGGAGGGCCCCAGCAATCTGTTCATATGTTATAGTTCTTTTAAAATTGATGCATAATTTATGTAAAATACAATGCACTAATCTTAAATGTACAGCTTGATGAATTTTTACATATATTTACATCAATATAACTACTCCCAGATCAAGATATAAAATATTTTCATCACCCCAGTAAGTTTCCTCATGCATGCTCCTTTCCAGTTAACAAGCCACCCTCCACCAAATAATTCTTCTGACTTTCATCCACTTAAATTAGTTTTTCCTATTCTGAATTCTATATAAACGATATTATGCAATTTGGCTCCTTTGGATCTGTCTTTAATGACCCAACATAATGTTTCTAAGGCTTATGCCTGTTGTTTCATGCACCAGTAGTTTTGCCTTTTTTTTTTTCCTCAGTAGAATATCCAGAATTTGTTTATTCATTCACCTGTACATGAACATTTGGGTTCTTTTCAGATTTGGGCTATATGAATGAAGTGACTATGAACATTCTTGTATAAGACTTTTGATGGTGACTACTCATTTATTTTGGATATGTACATATTGCTAGGTCATGTTAACTTTATTAAAAATTTCTGACCATTTATTCAAATGGGCATGCCATTATACACATCTATCATTAATGTATAACAGTTCCAGTTACTCCATCTCCTGCTAACACTTCATATTGTTAGTCTTTTTTACTTTTAGCCATTCTAATGGGTATTTGGTGGCATGTTGCTTAGTTTTAGCTTGCTTTTTGCTGATGCTTAATGATGTACAACAACTTTTCATGTGTTTATTAGTCATACAGATAACTCCTTTGGTTAGTTCCTCATTGAAGTCTCTTGCCTATTTTTAATTGGGTTGTTTGTCCTTTTATTATTGATTTAAAGGAATTATTTTTATGTTCTGGATTGCAGTCCTTTATCAGATATATGTCTTATCAACATTCATTTTGTAGCTTGCTTTTCATTTTGCTAACTCTGTTTTATAATAAGCAGAAGTTCAAAATACTTCCTGATTTTCCTTTTGATTTCCTCTCTGACCCATGAGTTATTTAGTTATTTAAAAGTGTGTGATTTAGTTTCTAAGTATTTGGGGTTTTTCCAGATATCTTCTTGTTATTTATTTCTAATTTAATTTCATTGCCATAAAATATACTTTGGGTGATTTGAATACTTTTAAATTTATTGTGACTTGTTTTATGACCCAGAATATGGTCCATCTTGGTAAATATTCCATGTGCTCTTTAAAATAGTGTATATTTGGCTATTATGAAGAGGCATGTTCCATAAATGCTAGTTGGGCCAAGTTGGCTGATAGTGTTGTTCAAGTCTTCTCTGTCCTTGATGAGTTTCTGTCTACTTTTTCTGTTAATTACTGACAGTGGTTGATATCTCTGATTGTAATTGTGGATTTTTCTCTTTCTCCTTGTAATTCTATCAAACCTTTGCATCATGTATTTTGAAATTCTGTTGTTATTTGCATAAATGTTATATCTTCTTGATTAATTGACCTCTATCATTATGAAATGACCCTCTTTATCCCCAATAATATTCTTTACTCTGAATTCTCCTTTCACATGATGTTAAGATAGACATGGTGGTCTTGCTTTTCAATACAAACTGAACATTTTTGCCTTTTAAATGGGGTGTTTAGACCATTTATATTTAATATGATTATTATGGATGGACCATATCAAATTTCTAATTGCTTTATTTTTGTCCCAATCTGTTCTGTTCCTCATTTTCTGCCTTCTTTTGGGTTTATTGTATGTTTTAAAAATTATTCTATTTTATCCTTTTATCTCTATTTTCTGTTTTCTTTTGGATTTTTTCAGCCTTCCTTTATTATTTTAGTTTAGCTCCTTTGTTGCTTAATAGGTACAACATTTTGTGTTTGTGTTTTAGTGGTTGTTTTAGGACTTATGTTTTACATTTTAAAATTATCACAGTCTACATTCAAGCAATATTGTATCACTCCATCCATAGCAAAATAACCTTACTGCAGTTACTTTAATTTCTTGCCTCTGGCCTTTGTAGTATTATTGTCATGCATTTCATATAACATTATTATTTTTGCTTAAAAAATGCCTTTTCTTTTTTTGAGACAAAGCCTTTCTCTGTTGTCCAGGCCAGAGCGCAGTGTATAATCTCGGCTCACTGCAACCTCTGCCTTTTGGGTTCAAGTGATTCTCATGTTTCAGCGACCTGAGTAGCTGGGATTACAGGCATGTGCCACAACGTCAAGCTAACTTTTGTATTTTTGATAGAGATGAGGTTTTGCCATGTTGGCCAGGCTGGTCTCAAACTCCTGGTCTCAAGTGATCTGGCCGCCTTAGACTCCCAAAGTGTTGGGATCACAGGTATGAACCCCCAAGCCTGGCCTAAAAATACCTTTTTAAGAGATTAAATATGTTTAAAAACTCTTATATTTATGCATATACTTGCCATTTCTGGTGTTCCACATTCCTTTGTGTAGATCCATATTTCCATCTAGTATTATTTTTCTTCTTCCCTAGGTACTTCCTCTAATATTTCTTATAGTGTAGGTCTGATGATGATACACTCTTTTAGCAACTCACCTCTATAATCTTAGTCTCAGTGGGTTTGGAGATCCTATTATTAGCCAATGGAAGAATGCTTCCACCAGGGAACAAAGTAGTGTTTCCATTAGATTGGGTGCTGAAATTACTTACTGATCATTCAGGTCTTCACATGCCAGAGAACTAACAGCTAGGGGTCACTGTACTTTCTAGAATCACCAGTATTGATTTCCTAAAGGGAAACTGGGTTGCTGCTATGCAGTGTGGGCAAGAAACACTATGTCCGGAACCCAGTAGATATATTGGAGAGCCTTTTAGTACTTCAGTCTTGGTCAATGGAAAATTGGAGCAACCCAGTATAGACAGGACCACCAACGACTCAGATCCTATAGTAATGATGGTTGGGATCACCTCACAATGTAAAGAACTCCAACCAGATGACATGTTGGTAAAGAGTAAGAGAAACATAGAATGTACATGGAGTAAGGAAACTATGAATAACAACTTGGGCCTCGTGACCAGTTATTGAAACAAGGACTGTAGCAGCTACATTTTATGCTAATTACTTTCTCATTTTCTTCTGCTACCTTCTTTGCAGATCACTGCTGTTAAATAACTTTATCATATTATATATCTCACATAACAGAATTGCTGATGGAATTTTGTGCATCTGTCCTGTTGGAGAGAGGAATTTTTCACTGGAGAAAGCTCAAGCATGAAGGCTGAATGGTGGAAGAAGTAGGCTCTGATGGACATTACAGTTTATCCCTCCAGATCCACTTTCCTTCCCCAGGCCACGCTCCATCCTGCTCTGTGCTTCACCAAGTTGGCCTGTATGGGCTATGCTGGTGGCTTCTTTGCATTCTGTCCTTTGGTTGGGCCTAGCCAATGAGAGGCACTGGTAAGGGATGAGAGGGTGGAGAAGAATGAGGTTGCATTATATATTCTCTAAGCTCATTCTCTGGTGGCCTGCCACGAATTGGCCACCTCACTCCACCAAAAGTAGTTCTTTCTGTCAGGTAGCCCTTTCTATGAAACTACTCTCTTTGAGTTCAAGCAACTTCTTCCTCCTCTTACACTTTAGATCAAGGGGTGGTAACAGCTCCTAGCCCTTGCTAGCCTGAGATTGCTGTACAAATTTACTGGTTTTCTTGATGTCTGCCTACACATTATTAAACTCTTCTCATTATCCAAGTTTGTAAATGCCTTCTATTTCTTGCCAGGATCCCAACTGATATGGTTAGCCTGTGGATTGATTTCTTTAAACTCATGTTTTCACCCCTTGTCCCATCAGACATGGTCAGGAGCTGTAAGTTTAAATACCACAAACACAACTGAAGGCCAGCCCATGCATTTCCAGTGAAAACACTTTTATGAATAGAGGGTGTTGGCTTGACGGAGATCCCAAACTTGGCATAACATCCAGGAGACAAGTTTAGACATTATTTTCACTTTATTTTGTAATAGCCCTGAAATTACTCAGTAGTGATGAGGATGTTGTTGGTGCAGTGGCAAGGGTGTTGTAATGAGATATCCCTGGTTATCGTCCTTGGGCTGTGAGATAGTGATAGGTGAGGAGATGGGATTATTGCACTGGGAATCGGATAGATTTTCAACTACTGATGGAGACAGCTTGAAGAGGGAGAGGAAGGGATGGCAAAGAACTGAGGGGACTTCTAACTACACCTTTATTTGCTTCTCAAAGATAGAGGGTGGCCCTAAAAATTAGGTCTTAGAGTGTTGGCAGGGTCGGGGTCGGGGGTTGGTGGGGGGCAGGAGGGGCTACAGGTAGAAGCTGATTAGAACTGTTTTTACAAGAGACCCTGAGAGATGGGTAGATCTGCTTTGTTGCCAGAAAGTCAGAGTATCACCCAGTTGCCAGCCTCCCATTTTTGTGAATAATGTGGCACAGCCCTGGAACAGTCAGTATTTTGAACTGTAATAGTTAAAAGCTATCTATAAAAGTTATCTAAAGACATCAGTGCCCTGGTCATGAAATCTGCATCCCCATCCAGAGGGAACCTGTAGTGGCAGAAATGGCATGCCAGCCCCAGGAGGCAACGTGGACCATGGACATCAGCGAGGAGGGTGGGGCTGGGCACATATGAGGGGTTCTTCGTGGGCAAATGTGTGGTACCTAGGGGACTCCCGGGAGTAAGCGTGGGAGGTGGAGAGCTGGATTAGCCAAATAGTGGAGATAAACTATAAAGTCTGAATTATTTCTAGTACTATGACCTCATTCATAGCCACAGCCTGAGTGTAGGAGCATTAGGATCACACAGCCACGTGCTCCTCTGTCCTCTGGGCAATCTTAGTTCTCTGTCCAAAATTTTTTTCAGACTTCATGTTGTCATTTTGAGACTCTCTTTTCCCATCTCTTCCTTCACGTGGGACCTGGAAATTCCTGCCAATATATTTTCCCAGATTTGGTACCCCTTTATTTTATTTATTTTTACATTTCTCTTTTGTTTTTATTATTAATTTTTGTGGGTACATAGTAGCTGTATATATTTGTGGGTTATTTTGAGATATTATGAGATATTTGAGAGATTAATATATGAGTTATTTTGATACAGGCATGCGATGTATAATAATCACATCAGGGTAAATGGGGTGTCCATCCCTTTAAGCATTTAATCCTTTTTATTTCAAACAATCTGATATACTCTGTTATTTTTAAATGTGCAATTAAATGATTTTTTTACTATAGTCATTCTGTTGTGCTAGCAAATAATAGGTCTTATTCATTCTTTCTAACAACTTTTTTTGTATCTGTTAACCATCCCCACCTCTCTCCCCCACCCCACTACCCTTCCCAACCCCTAGTAACCTTCTTTCTACTCTCTATCTCTATGAGTTCAATTGTTTTAAATTTTAGCTCCCACAAATAAGGGAGAACGTGTGATCTTTTAACACCCTCTTATTAATAGCCAAGTTTTGGTGATTCATTAGTGTGCAAAGGTAGTACCTTTTCAGTTCCTACTATGTCATTTTCAGCACTGTACAATGCATGGGCTAGTGTATAAACATTTTAGGTCAGTTGAATTCTTTCTATTGTCTTTGGGTTTAGTTTTTCTCTCCTTTCAGATATTTACTTCTCCTCTGAAGAACAAGGCATAGAGTAGAAATTATTTCTACAAATATTATTATGCAAATATAAATGCTTGTATGTAATCCACTTCCAGAGGTACCTGGGTATTAGATGAATATGAATTCTCAATATTTCTAAATAGAAGCATCTTATTTGCAAGTGTAATCCCTAACAGTTCCCAAATGCTTTCTAATAAATCCTTTTTATTCCTGAATGTAAACTCATTTTCTCATAAGAAACCACCTGGAAGAGGCAAGAAGAGCCATGTCATCTTTTACACATCTCACAGTGAATCTCTACCTTGTTATTTAATCAAGGTATCAACTCAAATTTTCGTAGCTTCTAGCTTGTGTTTAAAAAGTATTATTGAGGCCGGGTGCAGTGGCTCATGCCTGTAATCCCAGCACTTTGGGAGGCTGAGGTGGGCCTATCACCTGAGGTCAGGAGTTTGAGACCAGCCTGGTCAACATGGCAAAACCCTGTCTCTACTAAAAATACAAAAATTAGCCGGGCATGGTGGTGTGTGCCAGAAATTCCAGCTACTGGGGGTGCTGGGGCAGGAGAATTTCTTGAACCCAGGAGGAGGAGGTTGCAGTGAGCCAAGACTGTGCCACTGTATTCTAGCCTGGGCGACAGAGCAAGACTCCGTCTCAAAAAAATAAAATAAAATAAAATGAAAAGTGTTGTTGATACTTACCACTGGGATATGTACATTAGAATTAACAAACTGAAGGACTGGGGCATGGAGGGGACATGTGGATCTTCTCCATTAGTCATAATTATTCTGCCTGTTCCTACCTATCTGCAAACCTCTTCAACTTCTACAGCTTCCTTTGACTCATCTCCTTCCCAAAAAGCAGATCTTTCACGTGGGAGCACTGAGCCCTGTTAAGTTTGCCAAGTTTTTTGAGCCCAATTAAGTTTATTAAGACTTGTCTATGACTCAGCAAAAAGTAAAAATAGCATCCCACCCTCTTGGGATTGTTATTAGGATTAAATTAGTGAATACACGTAAAGACTTTGAACATTACCTAACCTATCTTAAGTGTTTAGTAAGTGTTAGGTTCTATTATTGTTTTTATGATTATTATCATTTGACTCTGTGTCCTAAAGCAGCTGAGACAAGTACTAGGGAATGAGGAGTTAAATTTGACACTGGGGAAAAACATGATTTCAGAATACTAGTAATGTTTTATCAACCATTATAATTACATGTAAAATCCTATTTTTGAATAACAAATCCAATCTGTGCTCATCATATTTGTAATGATCTTACCTACACAATACCTAGTGTTCTCATATGTGTGTGTGTATATAAAAATAAGTCTATATATTTATATTATAAATTATATATAATATAAAATATATAAATATAATGTTATACACAAATCTATATATTTTTATATATATAGGTTTTATTAAGTTAGTCTATGGAGCAGAGTTCTTTCTGGAGTTCCAAATAACCCACTCTATTTATAATTGCTGGAAAATTATAACTACTCATTACTTTATTAACCAAAACTACTTATAGAGAGCATGAGATTCTTTGCATGAGATTCTTCCCCTCTAAATTCCCCATAGAACTCATTCTTCATTGGAAACGTTTTATTTTTTGGTTGACTTAGAAGAAGAAAAGCATCGGACTAACTGCTCTATTTCCAAGGAAGTTTTTGAAAGTTTGAAAAGAAAGCACTGTGGTGAAAATCTGCTTTCCTTTGTGCACCAGGAAATATAGGAATGTGGGTTTTGCCTAAAAGAAGGCAACACCTTGTTAATATTCATCAGACAAGGGTCTTAGTTTGAATACATCAAAGATTAGGCCACTATGTATTCTGCACTGGGACGGGACAGAGGAAGGTGTTGATTTACTACAGAAACCAGACTTTGAGTGTGTTGCTCTAATTTGAGACTTTGGAATAATCTTCATGGGGTGGGGATGAATGTGTTCTAGGAATTTATAAAAACATTGGGTAGCCAGGCTGGGCGCGGTGGCTCACACCTGTAATCCCAGAACTTTAGGAGGCCGAGGTGGGCAGATCACGAGGTCAGGAGATCGAGACGATCCTGGCTAACACGGAGAAACCCCATCTCTATTAAAAAAAAATACAAAAAATTAGCTGGGCGTGGTGGCGGGTGCCTGTAATCCCAGCTACTCCGGAGGCTGAGGCAGGAGAATGGCGTGAAACTGGGAGGCGGAGCTTACAGTGAGCTGAGATTGCGCCACTGCACTCCAGCCTGGGCAAAAGAGCAAGACTCCGTCTCAAAAAAACAAAAACAAAAACAAACGAACAAAAAACCCAAAAACATTGGGTAGCCAATAGGGAGAACCATGGCAGACAGCAATTGTTGCCTATCCAATATCCGTTGCCTCCTTCATTACTAATATCAGAATTCTAAGTGTTTGAAATGGCAGGTCCAGCTAAAAATATACATTCCCCAGCCTCCCTTGGAGTGACAGGTGGCCATATGAAACAGTTCTGGCAAACGAGTTATAAGTAGAAGTTGCTGGATGTGTTCCAGGCAACTTTCACCTCTTGTGGCCTGGAATGCAAACACTATCAGGTGAGGAGGCAGCCTTCTGTGACCATGAAGCAACAAGAATGAGGCTAAAAGTCACATTTTAGGGATGACCAAGAAGAAAGATAGGGCTGTGAATACCCTGATATCATTGTGGAGCTGCTGTACAAACCTTGAGCTCTTACCTCTGGAGTGTTTGATGTATAAGAACATAATATGATATTTAGTTAAACCACTGGAAATTTGGTTTTCTTTTGATTTTTTAGACCTTTTAGCTGAGATAGAATGTATAGCTGTCTATATGGAATCATTTGAGGAAGTATTAACAGATAACTTTCAGCAAAACAAAATAATCTCTTCTATTTTCTTGAGTATTCCTGAGATACTACAATAAATCTCATTTTTTTTTTTTTTTTGAGACAGGGTCTTGCTCTGTTGCCCAGGGTGGAGTGCAGTGGTGCCATCATGGCTCACTGCAGCCTCCACCTCCTGGGCCCAAGCAGTCCTCCCACCTCAGCCTCCTGAGTAGCTGGGACTACAGGTACACACCTGGCTAATTTTTATATTTTTTGTAGAGACAAGGTTTTGGCAACACATATTTTTCCTAATGGTTTCACGTTCATTTTAAAACTCAAAAACTTTTGAAAACAACTGTGTCAGCTGAAATAACAATTAACTATGCTATTTTATTTCCTGTATTCTTGATGCTCTGACATCCGGGGACTTACTGACCCTGAAGAAATTGCCCTTTCCAGGGTTAGTTAATAGCTAGAGATAGTAAATCACCTGTCTTTGAGTGTGCTTTTGATATACAAACCAACCACTCCAGAGCCCATATTTGCAACCTCCTCCTTTTAGTGGGCTCTTACACTCTGGGCCACTAGCACCCTGCCCTAATCACTCCAGGGCCTGGTAACACATGACTAGGGTCTGCTCTTATGCCTTGGGTTTGCTGAAATTATTCAAACTAGCAAATCCTAAACCTGCTTAGCCTGCTTACCTTGCCTGGATCATTCCTTCCCATGAAAACCACAGCAAAGCCTGCCACCTTCAGTCCCTCCCACTCTCTGACAGCTCATCATGCCTAAGTGTTTACCATGTGGCCCCACATGGCATGCTCTGCCTCGTCTTTCTAGAGGACTGTGACTACAGTTAAGACTTTTTCCTTCATGATGGTCATTTCCATGTCTGCATGTCTTACCATATCCGATTAAAACAAATCCCAGGTACTGGTCGGGCGCAGTGGTTCATACCTGTAATCCCAGCACTTTGGGAGGCTGATGTGGGCAGATCACCAGAGGTCGGGAGTTTGAGACCACCCTGACCAACATGGAGAAACACTTTCTCTACTAAAAATACAAAATAAGCTGGGCGGTTGGCACATGCCTGTAATCCCAGCTACTCGGGAGGCTGAGGCAGGAGAATAGCTTGAACCCAGGAGGCAGAGGTTGCAGTGAGCTGAGATCGCGCCATTGCACTCCAGCCCGGGCAAAAAGAGTGAAACTCCGTCTCAACAACAACAACAAAAACAAAAAAAAAACAAACCAAAAAACAAATCCTAGGTACCGTTGAACAGGAAACCCACTCAAAAGGGCTTAAACATGATGAGATGCATTCTTTCCCATAACAAGAAGTTACTGGATAGGGCCCAGATCCAGGTGTGGTCAGCTCAGTGGCTAAATTATGTCTTAAGCCCAGATTCTTTCTTCCTTTCTGCTGTCTTCCTCACAGGTTGACCCTTGGCTAGCCTCTACCTTGTCCCTGGCTAGCCTCCTCATGGTCAAAAGATGGTTGCTTCTGTTCAAGGTGCTATTTTCAGACACTACAAAATGGAGCAGAAGAAGAGGGATTGCTTCTTCCCACGAAAGGAAAGATTTTCCCAGAAGCCCCCCTCAGTAGATGTCTTCCCATGTCTCATTTAGCCAGAACTGAGCAACATGCACACCTTAACCTGCTACTGTCAAGAGGAATGGGACCACCATGATTGTCTGAGGCTAATCAAGATTTACTCCTGAGTCCCAAAGAGGAAGGCTGAGCACCCAAACAAAAATAAGGGTTTGCTAATAAGGGAGGTTGGACAGAGAGTCCACAGTGTCTGGAAAGTCCCTAACTTTCATAGGGACTTAGGATTTAAAGTAAAGGACATTCTTGTTTGCACAGGGAGAAAAGGTCCAAGAACATAAAACTCAGAATAAGCGGTCACTCTGCTGAGTTGAGATATCAGAGTACATTTTCAGAAACAGAAATGACCCCTCTTCTCCAATTTTGCCTGCAATGAGTCAAGTAATGCCAGGCTCCTCCTGAAGACCTCTCTGGCTCCTAAATGGCCCTCTCAGCACATTCTGCTCCAACTCTCATCTTTCGTCCGCCCTCTCTCCTCTTTCTTATCTCTCTCTTTGCTCTGCTAAAATCATGTGAATTTACTAAGCCATCTCTTTCTTCTTCCCTAAAGCTCTGCTTTCTAAGGGAATGTCATGGCTGCCCCAACTCATCCCTCTTTATTGTATTGGGATGGACAGAAGTAAGGTTTCCATTTACTACAGAAACTGAGCTTTCCATTTTTCCATTTTCTACAGAACTAAGGTTTCCATTTACTACAGAAACTGAGCAAATTATAGCTGTTGCTATAATTTGATGAGACTTTGGGGTCATCCTAATGGAGATGGGATGAATGTGTACTACAGTCATGCTTAACGACAGGGATAAGTTCTGAGAGATGCATCATGAGGTGATTTTGTCATTGCATGAAAATCAGTGTGTACTTACACAAACCTAGATGGCATAGCTACTGCACACATAGGCTAGATGGTACAGCCTATTGCTCTCATGCTACTAACCTGTACGGCATGTTACTGTACTGAATACTGTCGGCAACTGGAACACAATTGTATTTCTGCATATAAACATATCTAAACAGAAAAGGTACAGCAAAAACATGGTATAAAAGATAAAAAATGGGGCCAAGCGCGGTGGCTCATGCCTGTAATCCCACACTTTGGGAGGCCGAGGCTGGTGGATCACTTGAGGTCAAGAGTTCAAGACCGGCTTGGCCAACACGGCAAAAACTCATCTCTACTAAAATACAAAAATTAGCTGGGTGTGGTGATGGGCGCCTGTAATCCAGCTACTTGAGAGGCTGAAGCAGGAGAATCGCTTGAACTCAGGAGGGGGAGGTTGTAGTGAGCCGAGATTGCACCACTGCACTCTAGCTTGGGTGACAGAGTGAGACTTGGTCTAAAAAAAAAAAAAAAAAAAAAAAAAAAGGATAAAAAAATGGTACACTTGTATGGGGCACTTACCATGAATGGAGCTTGCAGGACTGGAAGTTGCTCTGGGTGAGTGAGTGAGTGAGTGGGTGGTGAGTGAATGTAAAGGCCTAGGACATCGCTTTACCACCTTAGACTCCATAAACACTGTACACTTAAGCTGCAGTATATTTATTTAAAATTTTTTCTTCAATAACAAATTAACCTTAGCTTACTGTTAACTTTTTTTAACTTTATAAACATCTAAATTTAAAAAAACCTGTTGACACTTTTGTAATAACACTTAGCTTAAAACACAAACACATTGACCAAGCACAGTGGCTCACACTTGTAATCCCAGAACTTTGGGAGTCCAAGGTGGGAAGATCACTTGAGCCCAGAAGTTCAAGACCAGCCTGGGTAGCATAAGGAGACCCTGTCTCTACAAAAAATTAAAAAATTGGCTGGATATGGTGGTGCACTCCTGTGGCCCCAACTACTTGGGAGACTGAGGTGGGAGGATTACTTGAGCCCAGAAGGTCCAAGAGGCAGTGAGCCATGATCATGCCACTGCACTCTAGCCTGGCCAATGGAGTGAGAGACCTTGTCTCAAAAATAAATAAATAAATAAATACACTGTATAGCTGTACAAAAATATTTTCTTTCTTTATATCCTTAGTCTATAAGCTTTTCTTCTATTTTAAAAATGTTGAATATATTTGTTACTTTTACAACTTTTTTGTTAAAGATGAAGACACACACACATTGCCTAAGCCTATACAGGGTCAGGATCATCAACATCACTGTGATATTGACATCACATTAATATCATGTGGAGACATGTTGTCCCACTGGAAGCTCTTCAGGGGCAAGAATACCTGAAGCTGTCATCTATGATAACAACACCTTCTTCCAGAATACCTATTTTATAGTTAACTTTTATTTTTTTTAGTAAATAGAAGGAGTATACTCTAAAATAATGATAAAAGGTATAATATCGTAAACACGTAAGCCAGTAACATAGTCGTTCATTATCATTTTCAAGCATTATGTGCTGTACATAATTGTATGTGCCTTACTTTTATATGACTGGTAGTGCAGTAAGTAGGTTTGAGTTCACCAGAATCACCACAAACACACTGTGCTAAGACCTTATGATGGCTACAATGTCACCAGGTGATAGGATTTTTTCAGCTCCATTATAATCTTATGGGACCACTGTCATATATGTGGTCCAGCATTGATTAGAAACATGGCTATGTGGTGGTGCATGACTGCATATGAATATATTAAAAGGCTGGTTAGTCAAAGGGGTGGACAATGGCAGACAGTCATCTGAAATCTCTTCTCAACCAAGTATTCCAAGTGTTGGCCTCTTCAATCCTAATCCTGCTAATTTCTTAACAAATGGCAACCACTGTTAGAGACAGAAGAAACCAAAGTATTTTTCCTACTCTTACAGAATCAACACACAGAGTACTTCAGACCTCTGATCACGAGAATGTGTGTGGGGATTTTTCCCTACTCCAAGCAATTTTCCATGAACACCAGCTGATTGTCCCACAATCCAATTCCGACACTGTCTGCCTGGAGATAGGATCAGATCCCACAGGTTAAGGGTTCAGTCCCAGAAGACTGCCCCCACTTCAGATACCAGTAACAAACCCCAGGTTGCAAACTGTGCTTCTGAACAGCCAGCTATAATTTGGGGTTCCCAGAGTTTGATTAGTTTGCTAGAACTCAGAGAAACACTTTATTTGCATTTGTGCATTTATTACAAAAGATATTATAAAGGCTATGGATGACCAGCCAGATGGAACAATTGTGTAGGGTCAGGCATATGGGAAGGGGCACAGAGCTTCCACGCACTTTCCCGGTGCACCACCCTCCAGGAACCTGCATATCTTCAGCAACGCAGAAGCTCTCCAGACTCTGTCCTTTTGGGTTGTTATGGAGGCTTCATTACTAATTACATGTAATGTATGACTAATTACATCGTTGGCCATTGGTGATCAAGTCAAGCTTCAGCCCCTCTCCCCTCCCTCTAGGTTGGGGGATGGGGTTGAAAGTCCCAACCTTATCCTGCCTTGGTCTTTCTGGTGACCAGCCCCCATCTGGAAGCTACCCTAAGAGCCCCCAGCTATCAGTCATCTCAGTAGCCTACAGAAGACACTCTGAGAACCCCAGAGATTTCAAGAGTTTTAGGGGCTGCGTGCCAGAGGCAGAGGAGCCAGGGGCAGAGACCAAACATGTATTTCTTACTATATATCACCCAACTATAAGGGAATTTGCCAACTATATCTCGCATGACAACATTTCCATTCTAATCACTTTATTTAGGAGGTTTGAAAATGTTGATAATCCAAATTAAAGCCAGGGGAGTAGAGAGTTGCAATTACTCCAGATTTATCCCCAGATGAGGGCCTATTAACTGTGGTGTGGGTATGACTGAAATCTACCTAGCTTCATTCAGCCATCTCTAAAGCAGATGAGGACCTCGTGATGCCAGGTGTGTGTTATCATCACATGAGATCAGAGGCGGAATCTTATCCTGGTGAAAGGAGAGGCCCTCAAGCCAGGCTTGCCTGAGTTTGAAGCCTGACATAGCTGTCACTTTAAATTTGGTCCATAATGTGTCTCACTTCAGTTTTCTCTTGTAAGTTGCAGATAACAATGGGGGGTCATTGTAAAGGGCAAACATATGTACAGCCTCTACCTATAACAGTGTCTGGTATGGAGTATGTACATAGTAAGTGGAGGTGCTACTGTTATAACGAAAGAGCGTGCAACGTAAGTCACTATGTCCTGGTCTTGATAAATTGGGTAAAAAAAAAAAAGTCTTCCTTATTTCTAAGCTTCTTCATGCTCCCCTCTGGAGAATGTGACCAGGGGACAGAATTACTGAGACTGCCTCCATCAACACTTTTCCATTTTCAGACTAATATCAGGCCCTTTCATTCAGTCTTGCATTATTTGTGAACATGGAAAAATTCCTAGCCACTTAAATAAAAATAGTAGCATCTATATTTAAAAATTCATCCATCATGGGTTAAAATATTAGAAGTGACAGCTGGAGTTAGAATGAAGTTTTGGTGATATCTTAATGGTGCTCTAAGAAAGCTCCAAAATGCTTGCTTCATCCCTACCCTCAAGCCATTAGTCACTGGAAGGATTTTTATTAATAATATATGGGTCACCATATTGGACAAATAGCAATGGTCAGCTGTCCATAATTGTTTCCTGGACAGAGAAAATATAAAGCAACCAACCAATGAAAACTGTAATCTGGGAGTATTTTATCATGGCAATATAATTTTAAGTGGAAAACTTCTATATGCCAGTTTAATACACTTTTAAAATTTGCCCTTGTTGCATCAAGGCCATTTTTGTGTTAGTCTATACCTAAACCACCTTCGCCAAGTATGGACCTCTTACAAGGAAAAGGTATTTCTATCATTCCTCATAATGTCCAGGCAAAACACTAGTAAATGTCCTAATAATAGGGACCTGGATGGTTATAGTGTGATGTAATTTTTCTCCCATTTAAGTGTGACAGAATCACAAAATGGGAGAGCAAAATGTCTGAGAGATTATAGCCACACAAACACCGTGGGATTGAAACCTTGGAAAACTTACTGTCTAGAGATGAATGCCAGATTATATTCTGTATCACGTGCAGAGAACAAGGTTGCAATCTAGGCCAATGGAATGCTTTCTTCTTATTCTAAAGCTGCTTACTGTGTGTAAAATATTGTCATAATTTTAATGTAGTTAAATATTCTTACACTGCTGCAAATATAAGTATGATAAACAGGTATATCTCTCTGCTAGTTTCTCATGAAATAATTGCAAATCAAAGTGACACAAATGGCTCAGAAAGAAATGTGAAATGAAAGGGTTCATGTATGAGAAAATAGTGGTATATATTGAGTCTGATGTGAACCTACTTTAAAACCTATATTTTTGTGTTATGTTTTCTTCTCCAAGAAAAGGTTTACAAGGTCCATCTCTAAAGGCTGTTTAAACATTATGTATCTGAATTAGAGGCTTACTTGTACCGCAACGTGACTGTTATATTTCTTTTGTTGCTGAAGGAAGCCTCTGTGGCATGTTAATTTCTTTCAATCACTGATATTTACTTTGAGCATGAGCTATGGAAGAGCTGTGATAATGATTCAGAAGATAAGCAAGTGAGAGAACAAAATAGAGCAATGTAGAAAAGTTGCTCATGTTACATGGAAGCCAGGTGTCCAAAAAAATGGAATTAATAGAAGAAGTAATTTTGTACCAGCTTGGGAAAACTTTGGACTTGGAGCCAAATCCAATCTTCCACTTCAATTTAATCCTATGCATGAAACCAACAGCAAGAGACTATATTTTCATTTATGCCTATAGTTACCCAAGCACAATGAAAACATAAAACTGACCATTGGCAACTTCTTTAAAAGCCGCCGAGTGTGGAATGGAGGCTGAGCCCAGCCCATTCTCTCTGCAGCTTTTCATTTACATAATGCAATGTTGTCAGTGTTCTCACATGATTTCCTAAGCTTCTGATTAATGAGGTAGCAGGGCGAGGTAGTCTGATGTGGTGCAAAGCGCACTGGTTTTGGAGGCACAGATCTGGATTCAAAGCCCCCGGGGTCATTTATTAGCTATTTGCTGTCTCTGAGCTTCAGTTAAGGCTCCTCTTTTGCAAAATAGCACTAGAGATATTAACTTTCTTCTAAGGTTCTGGGGATGATTAAATGGGATGATTTATGGAAAGCATTTTTTACACAATAAACAGCAGTTGGTGTTATGCTAACCCAATGCTGTTGATATCATAAGTTTTGTTTTCGAACTCATCCCTTTCAAGATGTCCATGCAATTTCTGGGGTTGGTGCAGGTCCCTCAGGCCTTACCCTCCCACCGCTGTCCTTCTGTTGTCACAGGATACTGCTGCTGACCCCTACAACGCCTGGGAGGACGTTTATCCTTCTGCACCCAGCTCTCTTCTGCTGCTGTCAATACCACTGCTATTGATACCCCTGTGGCCTCCAGGGAGAGGGCATTGCTCTCCCTGTCTACCCTGTCACCAACTTGGAATACATTCTTTCTCTTAATTCCCCACTACAGGGCAGACACCAGCCCATTTCTTGGTGAGAGTTTTCCTGGAGTTCTGAAGTGATGGACAAGAAACATAACTTGGAGAGAAATTTACTGACACAGCCTAATTCCTGTGCCATCCTCCGGGTGCCTTGCTGGGCCCCCAAAAGAAGAGCTCCAAAGTGCTCCAGATATCAGAGCTTGGGCCTGAACAGCTAGCTCCAAGTCTCAGACAGAGGAGGAGATATTCCCTCATAACCAATTTGAGGCCTGCCTCTGAGTCCTCTTTTCCTGTCCCATCATCATCTCTTCCCAGGGTGATTCTTGTAGGAATAAACTCAACCCCCACCAAGAAGAAGGTGCTCTGGTCATAGTAAAATAACAGCCCCAACAATAAATGGGTGAAGATGAGCCTCAGTCTAGGCATGTCATGGAGATACAGGACTTGTTGTGATCTGCCACTCCCTCCTCACCCCCTCACCGTCACCCACCTGCCTACCTGTCCAGCTTCCAGGTTTTCTGGGAAGTCATTTGTTAAGATTTGTTGAGCCCGTTGGGTTGCCAAGCAAATAAGCCTGGCCAGTTGGAACCCATATGTGGGTCCTGAGATTTGACTCTAAGACCCATCACATTGGTAGCAATGAGGCTGTGGCTATTCTACTTTCCTTTCACAACTGGCTCAGGAATTGGGCCAAAATGAAGCTACAGGAGGAAGGCAGAACATTGGTGGATGGCTGCAAGAGAAAGAGAGGGTAGCAACAGAAAAAACAAAGTGGGGCCAGGGAAGTGTGTTTGTCTCCTTTGACTGATTCTCTCTCCCTTTCTCGTGTGCGTGTGTGTGTAACTTATAAATATCAATGAATGGATATACACACATATTAAATATTGTATTCAATGGAATATATATTTGAAGACAGTTTATGTATTGAATAGACACAATTCAATATATGTATCCATTTGAATAGGTATACATATATGTACATATATACCTATATGCGTAAATAAGTGTGTGTATATGTATATATATTCAATTGCTCTCTTTAAACCTTTGGGTTTTACTCCATCCCTCAGAATTTTTTTTTCAACAGTATTTCCTTTCTTCTTTCTACTTGTCGCCAAATCTCCCTTTTAAACACAGCCACAATATGAAACAATAATTTTTAAATTGTTTTCTTCTAATTTGTTTTCCTGTTAACAGTTTTACATATGCAAAGTGGCTGAGACTTATATTTGATATATATATGTTTTTTACTTATGTTGCCTCTGGACATCTTTTTCCCATGATCAGTGAACCTCTACAGAAAAATGTCTCCACCCTTTTTCTAAGTAAACACTGGAATGTCCCTTGTTACAATGCTGCCTGCCCATGAAACGCCAGGCAGCAACCTCTGCCACCCAGCCATGCTGGCAGGGAAAGCAGTCAAGAGGGCTCTGTGCTGGAGCAAAGCAGCAGGTTAGCAAGATGAAGGGCAGAAGTGGTAACACAGGCAAGATCTTGCTGGCATCTATGGGATCAGTTCCTACAGCTCTAATATAACTCGAGTTAATAAAGTACATGTTGTTGCAAAGTCAAGCACTGCTAGAGCTGACTATTAAGACTGGCAATGGGGAACCGAAAGCAAAGTGCTTGGAACAAATGGATGGCTTTTCTCCAAGGCAGGCTGGGAAAACATACCCTGTTTTCATGCACACAGTTCTAATGTGTGCCTAAAACTATGTGGAAGTAACTAAGGAGAATAGAATGCTGAGAATTTTGTCTTTAGAGTTAGAAAGATTCCTGTTCAAATCCCAGCTATGCATCTGCTACTTGAGCTGTCCTTGGCAACGTTACAGAGGAGATTTCAGACACTGGATCACTTTGGTGAGAGATGTAATAAGGCAGATAAAACTTTCAGCACTTCTTAAATCAATTCCAATTTCCAGCTATATCTAAATAGGGCTAGTCCTATGTCAGGTAATGAGGCAACACATTTTACCCATGAAGACTCTACTTAGTTCCAGGTTTCTAAGTGTGCTCCAGGACTAGGGCTGAGTTACAGGGAATTTCTGGCTCCAAAATTCAAGAATCAAAGCCAGCACATCTTTACAGTCTTGCTTCCTACCTAGTGCCATATGGGAGGCGTTAGTGCCTAACAGCCTATGGTGAACATAACTAGCTCCTGACCACTGTTCCTCTCGCCATCAAACAGTGCATTCAGGGTCTTAGAAATCTGAAGCTGCAAATATTCCTTCATCTGTCCTGGGTGGTGGAAGAGAATTCCGAATTTTGATATTTAAATTATAGCTAATGTTAATTGAATATTAATATATAAAAGGCAATGTGAATTTATTTTATTAATCCTCTCCAAATCATATAATTTATTTTATTCAAATCATATAATTTATTTTATTAATATTATTAATAAAATTTATTATGTTGATTTATTATGTATTAATCCTCTCAATATAATTCAGATAACTATTTTGAAGTTATCTGAATTATATTTATTTACTTTATTATCTTGTTTATTTTATTAATCCTCTCAAAGGATGTATTATTTTATTAATCCCCTCAAAATTTTATTGTTTTATTACCCCTCTCAAAATCATATAATTCAAGATAACTATTTTGAAATAAAATAATATTTGAAATTATGTATTGAAAAGTCACACTGCATATCTCAGAATGTCAAAGTAGAATGACCAGCACTAAGACATATTCTAGTAAAATTGCTGTACCTTAAAAAATAGGAAAAATACTTTGGGGGGATCTAACCAAAAAGGATATGCAACTTAGACAGGGGAATAAATTATACTACCATTAGACTTTCAAACAACAACAGATAAAAATATAATGTGTACTATATATTCAAAGAAAAAAAAATGTGAGGCAAGGATTTTATATCCAGCAAAACTGACTTCCAAGCATAACCAGAACAGACTACTAAAGATGCAAAAACTCAGGGAATTTTGTTCACCTGAGGTCCTTCTGAGTAATCTACTCAGAATGATCTCAGACAACCAAAATAACTAGAGATGTAATGACATGAGATGAGCTGGTGAACATTAAGTGTATTGTTACTTTTAGAACTAAGACTTAATGAGGCTCAAAAGAAAGAGAGTACAGTATGTAATGGATATATGTTTTGACAAATAGACACTGGACAACAATTAAAAATGGGGAGAACATGTGAAAATTAAAAAAAAACGCTTTTAGTATGTATACTGGTAGTGGTAGCATTAGCTTGCTTTTCTGTATACTATGTGGTTTGAACAAATAGTGATGGTATATTCTAATTGTATCATCCCCAGTATCCTTTAGAGTCAGGATTCTTGGTGTGGAAGAAAGAAAATACAGTTGTAATATAGAAAAGTGTAAGTGAAACATTTGTAACCCTGTATTTAAATATAAAGTCAATACGAAATTATTTTATCTCACATATAATTTTTCTAGCTCTATCCACTAAAAATGCCTTAAAAACAATGACTAATCCAGTAGCAACAAGCATCCTAGTACCTAGGTGATGGTATTGAAACACTACTAGATTTTCCACTGAAGGATATCAAGGCTTCTTGGAGAAATGGTTGATTCCAGGTCTGGAGTAGGAAATGCACAAAATGAGCCTGGAACATCTTGTCATATCAGAGAGCAGGGAGGTTATCAAAGATGACTGGAGTCACATCAAAAGGATTCAGGAGCCAGCTTGAAGATGCTCCCAGGTCAAATATGGAACAATATGAGCTTTAATAAAGATAATAATTGGAAGGGGGGAAAGAAACAAGCATTTATCCTGACTTGTCCATAAGAACTATTCCACTGAGTAACCAAATAGTAGGTGGAGAAACGTTTCTCTTTTAAAATGTACTCCAATGAATAAGTAAAGAAGAAGTTATGGAAGTTAACATTGTCATTTTGCACCTGCTAATGAATTAATGGATTCTAGAGGTCTAGCATAGTGACTGCAGATTATAGAAAAATAGACAACAAAACATCATTTGCTTCCCAGTGGAAGAACACACAATCACCTATACTCTTGCAAAAGAGATCAAACCTGAGTTTTAATCCATGAAATCTAGAGTATGAGAAATATACTACAACTCAAATGGCCCAGCTTCTTTAACAAATATATTGTAAGGGGGGAAAGGATGGAGGGAAACTTGTAGACTAAAAGAGATCTAATGCACATGTCGAATTTGGTTTAAATGAGAAAGACCAGACTTCTGTTTTCAGTTGGTGAAGGAAGCACACACTCTGTGTCCCACTAATCACAACTAAAAACCCAGGGACAGACTAAACAAAGCAACTGTCTGAGGACTCTGAAAATAAACAATAGCAGGTAGATTGGGAAGAGAATTAAAAAACTGAAAACTGGTGAATGGCATGCAACTTTCCTATTTTTTCTTTCTGTATTTCCCTGATTAGTCTCTGGGTAGCCTGAATCCTGGAACTGCATAACAAGCACGGGCAGAAAAATCTCCAGAAAAATCCCTGTTTTTCTAAGCAGAAGATAAGGAAGGGGTGGGGCACTTCAGGACAAAGAGAGTACGGGAAATCCCCTGTTTTCTCCCTCTCCTGCCCCTCCCATGGGGCAATGCCCAGTCCTGACGATGTATTACTGCAGCCCTGTTGGTGGCAGCAGTGGTGAACAGGCAACTAAATCCCTCAGAGAGAGAAAAATCCTCTCTGAGGAAAGAAACGAGGAAAAGGATCCCTGTTATCTGAAAGGGTGGGGAGAGCCTTTTGCTTCTTTTCTCTTGCCGCTTCACCCTGGAAATGAACCATGCCATGGAAAGTGTATAACAGAATGGGGAGAATAAAATCCTGTATTTCTAACTAAGAGACCAGGAAAAGGGGACTCTGAGAGCTGGAGGACATAGAGAAATCACAGAGGAGGGAGCTTGAGAAAAGAATCCCATAAATCTCTGCATGAAATCTCAAGTCCACTCCCAGATATATCTGATTGGAAACAGAAAACAGAAGAGGGAGCACTTTCCAATTCATTTTAGGAGACCAGCATTACCCTGATACTATAATGAGACAATGTCAGCACAACAAAACAAAACTACAGAACAATATCTCCCATGTAAAGATGCCAACATTCTCAATAGAATATTAGCATATCAAATTCATCAATGTGAAAAAATAATAATATGCCACATCCACATGGATTTTATCTCAGAATGCAAGGGTGGTCCAACATTTGAAAATCAATGAGGTCCACCATATTAAAAGACTAAAGAACAAAAAGCACAGTATCATCTCAATAGAGGCAAAACAAGCATTTGAGAAAATCCAAAACACCTTCATGATACAAACACTCAGCAAACTAGAAATAGTAGGGTTTTTTTTTTGTTGTTGTTTGTTTTTGTTTTGTTTTGTTTTTAGACAGAGTTTTGCTCTTCTTACCCAGGCTGGGGTGCAATGGCACAATCTCAGCTCACTGCAACCTCCGCCCCCCAGGTTCAAGTGATTCTCCTGCCTCAGCCTCCCGAGTAGCTGGGACTACAGGTGCGCGCCACCATGCCCAGCTAATTTTTGTATTTTTAGTAGAAACGTGGTTTCGCCAGGTTGGCCAGGCTGGTCTTGAACTCCTGACCTCAGGTGATCCACCTGCCTCATCCTCCCAAAGTGCTAGGATTATAGGCATGAGCCACAGTGCCTGGCCGGGAAATTCTTTAATCTGATAAAGGACCTCAACTAACAGCCTACAACTAATATCAGACTTAATGGTAAAACACTGAATGTTGCCATTCAGTCTGAAGATCAGGAGCAGGACAAAGATGTAAATTTTCACTGTTTCTATTTCACATCATGCTGGAAGCTGTTGCTCATGCAATTAGGCAAGAAAAATAAGGCTCATACATATTAGAGAGGAAGAAATAATACAGTCTCTATTCAGAGACAACAGGATTACATAGATATATATAGATAGATAGATACTATATAGATATATAGATAGATAGATATTACATATATATATATATATAATAGATAACTATATAGAAAATACTGTTATTTAGAAGTTCCTAGAACCAACAGGTGAAATTAGTAAGGGTGCAGTATGCCAGGTGATCATACAAAAATCAGTCTTACTTCTACATATTAGCAATGAACAATTGGAAACTGTATTTTTTTTTTAAAGCACCATCTACAATAGCTTCAAAAGCTAAATATTTAGGTATAAATATAACAAAAGACATGTAGGATCTATATGCTAAAAAGTACAAAAGGTTGGCCGGGCGTGGTGGCTCACGCCTGTAATCCCAGCACTTTGGGAGGCCGAGGCGGGTGAATCACGAGGTCAGGAGTTCAAGACCAGCCTGGCCAACATGGTGAAATCCTGTCTCTACTAAAAATACAAAAATTAGCCAGGTGTGGTGGTGGGCACCTGCAATCCCAGCTACTCAGGAGGCTGAAGCAGGGTATTGCTTGAACCTGGGAGGCGGAGGTTGCAGTGAGCTGAGATGGCGCCACTGCACTCCAGCCTGGGTGACAGAGAGAGACTCCATTTCAAAAAAAAAAAAAAAAAAAAAAAGTACAAAATGTTGATGCTAGAAGTCAAAGTAGACCCCAAAAATTGAGAAACATGCTTTGTTAATGCATTGGAACACTAAATATAGTTAAGATGCCAATACTTGTCAAATTGATCTATAGATTCAAAATGATTCCAATAAAATAATCCCAGCAGAATTTTGTGGAAATACACAAACTGATTGTAAAATTTAGTGAATATTAAAGGAACTACCATAGCCAAAGCAATTTTGTGAAAGAACAGCCAGAGGACTCCCATTACTGGATTTTATGACTTATTGGTAATCTAGACAGTGATTTTTGCATAAGGATAGACACATAGCTCAATGGAATAGAAAATACAATCCAGAAATAGAGCCACACAAACATGGTCAACTTATTTTTGATAAAGGTGTAAAGACTAAATGGAGACAGGAGAGTTGTTTTAACAAATGGTCTTGGAACAATTGGTCATCTATATACCTTATACCTTATAAAAGATTTTACTTAAAATAAACTTTATACTTAAGCCTAACTTTATTTTTAATTACAAAAATTTTAGAAGAAAACAAGAGAAAATCTTTGTGGTCTTGGATTGGGCAGTTTTTGGGATCGTGTCACCAAAAACGCGATCCATAAAAGAAAAAATGATAAAGTAGACTTAAAAACTAAAAAATTTTGCTCTCTGGAGGACAATGGTAAGAGAATGAAAAAACAAGTGACAGACAGGGATAAAATATTTGCAAATCTCATATGCATCAAAGGACTGTTACCTAGAATGTATAAATAACTCTCAAAACTCAATGAACAATTTAAAAATGGAATCTGGGCTGGGCGTGGTGGCTCATGCCTGTAATCTCAGCACTTTGGGAGGGTGAGGTGGGGGGATCACGAGGTCAGGAGATCGAGACCATCCTAGCTAACACGGTGAAACCCCGTCTCAACTAAAAATACAAAAAATTAGCCAGGCGTGGTGGCGGGTGCCTGTAGTCCCAGCTACTTGGGAGGCTGAGGCAGGAGAATGGCGTGAACCCGGGAGGCGGAGCTTGCAGTGAGCCAAGATCGCGCCACTGCACTCCAGCCTGGGTGACAGAGTGAGACTCCATCTCAAAATAAATAAATAAATAAATAAATAAATAAATAAAATAACAAAATAATAAAAATAAAAATGGAATCTGAATAGACGCTGTCCAAGTAAGATAGAAGGTTGTCAAATAAGTACATGAAAAAATGCTCAACACCATTACTCAGTGGGAAAATGCAAATTAAAAGCACAATGAACTACCACTATGCATCTATTAGAATGGCTAAAACAAAAATAAATATATAAAACTTACAATCCCAAGTGATGGTGAGGAAACAAAGCAACTCGAACTTTCATACACTGCTGGTGGGACTGTGGAATGGTGCAGTCATTCTGGGAAACAGTTTGACAGTTATAAAGTAAAATACACCCTTAACGTATGATCCAGCAATCTAGGTATTTAACCTAGATACATAAAAATTCATGTTCACACAGAAACCTGTACACACATATTTACAGAAGCATTCTTCATAGTCACCCAAACCAGGAAGCAATCCAAATGTCATTCAACGGATGAATGCAGTTACAAAACTATGGTGTATCTACACAGTGGAATATTATTCAGTGATAAAATGATACCAACTATGTGGATGAATCTCAAATGCATTACGCTGACTAAGAGAAGCCAGGATCAGGGCCATGTGCTGCACTGTCTCATTTATATTACATTCTGGAAAAAGACTACCAGTAATTGACGGGGGTAAGGGTGAGGGAAGGTTTGACGACAAAAGGGTAGTATGAGGGAATTTTCAGGGGCGATAGAACTGTTCTGTATCCTGATTGTGGTGGTGATTTCATGAATTTGTGCATGTGTTAAAACTCATTGAACTGTACAACCAAAAGAGCTATTTTTACAGTATATAAATGTTAAAAACAGGCAATACTATACTTAGATTATAAAGAACTTCAAGAAAGTGACTATGGCTGGACGCAGTGGCTCACGCCAATAATTACAGCACTTTGGGAGGCTGAGGCAAGAAGATCCATTTGAGCCCAGGAGTTTGAGACCAGCCTGGGCAACGTACTGAGACTCCCATCTCTACAAAAATTTAAAAAGATAAAAAAATAAAAAAGAGCGTACTATAAAATTCAGGATAGTGGTTGCTTTTGGTGAGGTGAAGAAGTTGTGTTTGGATTGCGGAACGTGGAGGAAACTTTTAGGGTGGCTAGCAAAGTTCTGTTTTTCTTCACCTAATACTTATTCCTTAGGCTGTACATTTCAGTGGCTTTTCTGTATCTATAGTTTATCTAACAATTAAAAGCTATGTAGATATTGAGTAAATAAAGTATCAACAAAAACTTCAGTATGGTTTTACATGTCAAACTAAAGAAGAAAAACGGTAACAATGACTACAACAGCATGGGGGATTGCATTCCCAGATATCAAATATTATCACAAAGTTAAGATGATTAACATGTGGTTTTAGTTTAGGAAGATACATGACCTAATTGAGCAACAGAATAGAAGAGAGAGTTGAGAAGCACACTCATGCATATGTGGCAACTTCAGTAACACAGAGCAGACATTTAAGAGTTGAGGGAAAGGATGGATTATTTAATTACTTGTGCTAGAACAATTGATTATCCAGATTTTAACAATCTCACTGCCTCATACCATACGCAAATATAATTTCCAGTAAGGTTAGCAACTTAAATGTAAAAGATGAAAATTATAAACATTTAATATAACAGAATATCATTATGACTTCCAGGTAGGAAAGCATTTCTTAAGCTTCAAAAAGCACGAAGTCTAAAAGGAAAAATATGTAAATGGAAATTAAGGACATCTGTTTTATCAAACTCTATCATAAAACAACTGAAAAAAGTCCATAAATTAGGAGAAATTATTTTCTCAAATGATGAGTGACACAGGATTAGTATCCAGAAAATCCAAATTAGAATGAAATTGAGATGCCACTGCACACTAAAGCGACTGTCAAAAATCGAAAAGACAATACCAAGTATTGACAATGATATATATACAACATCAGGAACTTTCATCTACTGCTGGTGTGAATGTCAACTGGTACAACCACTTTGGAAAACAATTTGCACTGTCTAGCAATGTAAGAAAAGTGCAGAAATGATTAACATGAAATTTGAAGAGGGACGAAAAAGGAGAATCTGGATGGGGAATTCAGAGAAGTTCTAAGATACTGGTAACACTCTGTCTCTTAAGCTGGATGACGAGTATTGGGGCATTCGTATTATTAGTAGACTTTACACACTAGCATACATTTTGTACACTCCTTTGTGTGTGTGATCTATTTCATAGCGGAAAAACCTTCTAATGGCACATTACCAGCAGCATTTTCAAATACGCTAAACGACTACATATTATTTATTAAATGTAGGTTTTCCTAAACACCTATGTTATGCCAAGTATGTGCAAGATCTTTTGAGTTATATACGAAAAGTACTATTTGAATATTTTACATCAAGAAGGTATTTATGTATTTGTATGAAAAGCTGAATGAAAAGTCAGAAAAATACAAAGCTTGTTTCCTGCATAAAAGATTTAGAATTTTATTCAGGAGATGAGAACACACATGAGGGGGCCTTGGAGACCTTTAGACTGCTCTTCAGGAAGGGGATATGGTATGTCAAAGGTGTGCACTCTGGGGAAGAACTAACGCAGCATCACTGCACCTCAAACAACCTACATCACCCCAGTCACATGTAAGGAAAATTTCATGAGGCTTTTAAGTCCATTTGTTCCAGAATATAAAAACACTGAGCAATATATTTTAAATAGAAGTGCAACAGGCACATTGGCTATGATAAACAGAAATTTGTTTTACAGGCAGTTTCTTAGGGTTGCTCTATTCTAAATGGTGAAATACACCTACTTATGTATTTAGCATAAAGAAGCTAAAGGAAGTAAGACTCCACCTTTTTTTTTCATCCACTCCATTTTATTATAGCTCACCTGCATTTCAACTTTCCACCATAATCTTGGCACCTTGATATCCTCCTACTTCCTGCATTCTTTTTAGAAATGGATCAGTGAAAGCTTCTTAGCTTACTATTGGATTCAGAAGATCCAGTGGATTGCTCTCTGATGATCTTTTGGGGCTCACAAAATGGACTCCCATTGGGATTTCTGCATTCTCTTCTGAGTCTCACAGTTGAAGCTGAGTATAACTATCAGGCCATGGTGGACACAGTGGCTCCTGCCTATAATCCCAGCATTTTGGAAGGCTAGAGCAGGAGGATCACTTGAGACCAGGAGTTTAAGACCAGCCTGGGCAACATAGTGAGAATCTGTCTCTACAAAAATTTAAAAAGTTAGCCCAGCAAGGTGGCATGCACCTGTACTCCCAGCTACTTGGGAGGCTGAGGTGGGAGGATCACTTGAACCCAGGAGTTTGAGGATACAGTGAACTGTGATTGCACCACTGCACTCCAGCCTAGGTGACAGAGCAAGACCCTGTCTCTAAAACAAAACCAAAACCAAAACCTAGGTGGGCATATAATTTAGTATCCAAGATGGGACACTTTTGAAAATGTCATTGGTGATTACTTGAGGTAATTACTTGAGGTATATTACTTAAGTATGTAAATTAGGGCCATCCTGGACAAAGAGGGACACATGTCATCCTAGTCATTACCAAACAAGAATGCATTAAGAAACTCAATCAGGAGGGCGATGGGCACTGAAACTGGATGAGGAGTGGTGACAGGTGCCATGGATGTTTGCCCAGGTAAAGAGACGGAGACAAGGTGCCGTGATCACTTGGTGAACTGCACGCACTGGGTGTGTAGTAGAATGGGACAGCCTCTGTGAGCCTGTGCTTTATGGCTCGTGGACATACAGATTCCTATAGAACAGCACAGCACAATCAAGGTTGTGTGTGTGTTGGAGGTGACAGTGTCTCTGTTTGCAGTGTGACTGTCTGCATGTGAGGGTGTGTGGCAGAAGCGGCTTTTGTCAAAGTCCCCTTCTTTTTGCTCACTTTCTGGATATTGCTCTATTTTTACAGTGATGCTGAGTTTTACAGAGTTGGCCCACTGCCCGCCTTTCTTAAGTAGGCATAAAATCTGCATTCCTTCTACTTTTTCTTCCTGAGTCCTAACAGTTTAAGAAGTTATACCCATAGGTCATGAGTGCATGTGGAGGTGCTGGTTAGATATCTCTGCTTGAGAGAATGGACAAAATCAGAGAAGAACAGAGGGCTTTGCAAGGCACTGAGAAAATAAATGCATAATATACAGCCAAACAGAAGCAGAAAGTTCCCAGGAACAATCTTACCTTAATATACAGCAACTCTGCCCTCAACTCTTCCCCTCCGTACCTTGCTCATTAGTCTCTGCTATGCACACACCAGATGTTCTTTCATTCATTAACTAAACATAGTTACTGAGTCCCTGCTATGTGCCATTCTACATGCTGGAGATAGAGTGTTGAACAAGACAGGCAGGCTGTATGCCTTCATAGCAGTGGAGGCAGACAATAAACACACTAAAGTTGAGATGACGTCACAGAGCGCCGTGTGCCTTGTAACTGTAGAAGCTTAATTAACACTTACTGAGTGCTTACTCTGTCAGATGTTGATTTACATGATCTGTGTCTGTTATTCACATAATCCTCTCAGAAGTTTTATGCTGCAAGTGAAAATATTATCATCTCCATTTTATAGACGAGAAAACCGAGGCACAGAAAGAAGGATTAGGTCACTTTCCAAGGTCACACTGTCAATAAGTGGTAAAACTAAAAGGTAAATACGGATCATCTGATTCTTGAGTCCACATTCTTAATGATTATATCACATGAACTTCTGCACTGCTTGAAGGACAGACAACAGGCCAGCATAAAAGTAGAAAGTGCTGGGTGCTAAGAGGCAGTGTCTGGGTTGAAGAGCTTGCTTTAAATCGGGTGATCAAGGAAGACCTCTCTGAGGAGGGGGCATTTGAGTTGAAACCTAAGTAATGGGAAGTTGTTGAACATGCAAAGATGTGAGGGTAGAATTTTCCAGGCAGTGCAGTCAGCTAGTCCAAGGATGCTAAGGCAGAAAGAACCTGAATCGTTTGAGGGACAGAAAGAGGGCAAATGGGGTGGTCATGATCTTTGTGAAAAAGGGATCCAAATTTAAAAGAGAAAATTCTGGTTTACTATCTTATCAGTTTCTTCATCTATACAAAGGGATGACATGTTTCTCCAGCAACTATTTGGTTACTCAGTGGAATAGTTCTTACAGGCAAGTCAGGATAAATGCTTGATTCTTTCCCCCTTGCAATTATTATCTTTATTAAAGCTCAAATTGTTCCATATTTGACCTTACCCTCTTGTTATAGAATAAAAAGAGATCATGGTAGCCATTATTATAATCACCGTTATTAATAACACATCCATAGTAAATAAAGCCTGGCCAGCTTGCCTTTTTTCATAAGAACATGACCCTGTTCTAGTCAATGCTTAATCAGAAAGGCACTGTGTAGCGAGCACAACAGCCATGTAATTTGAAGTTATCACATCTAACTTGTAAGGTAACTATTCTTGTCATCATATAGATAAGGAAATGAAGGCTCTCAGGGGTTGAATAATATTACCAAAAACAAATATCTAATGTAAGTAATAAGACCGCAATTTTATTTTTTATTTTTTTGAGACAGGGTCTCTCTCTGTCACCCAGGCTGGAGTGCAGTGGCACGATCATGGCTCACTGTAGCCTCAATTTCCCAAGTTCGGACGATTCTCCTGCCTTAGCCTACCGAGTAGCTGGGACTACAGATGCACCACCATGCTCAGCTAATTTTTGTATTTTTTGCAGAGATGGGGGTCTCACTATGTTGCCCAGGCTAAGATTGCCATTTTAACTCAGTTTTGTCTTGCTTCAAAGCACAAAGTGTTTCTTCTATACCATACCTCTTTGCAAACTCATCCGGAGCAGGCAGGGAGCAATGGTTTTATCTATATTGTAGTATCGCCTGCAGATGCAGACACTGTGATAAATCTTTTTTAGATGGAGAATCTGATGAACATGATGATAATACCGGAATGATGATGATAAAGTAGAACAAAGTGAATTGGAGAAATGAATTGCTTCAGCCATGTTCCTGTCCTCAGGTGTTCAGCTGCTTCTGATAAAAGCACAATCTTCCACTGCAGTTAACGCTGTGTAGGCTTGGCCTGAGAGAATCAAGAATAAAGCTGATTGCAAACTTGGTGCATAACAGAGAAAATAAAGACATCATTTACTGACTGATTTGGACTAAGAAAAGATGTATTTACTTGCAGTTTATTATGTTGAATGTGACAGGCATACATTTGTGCTTTTTATTGAATGATGACTTACTACATACAGGAATTGGTGCAATTTGTAATGCAGATTATGTTTTTAAACAAAAAAGGGTGCAAATACACTGATGGCTGTCACATGACTCGCTCTGCACTTCTCAAAAAGTGGCTGGAGCGTGGGCGGAACGACAAATATACCCTAGATGCACAAATGTAATTTCCAAAGAAGAAGATTCTGGGCAGCTTCCAATTCAGTCGGGCAGATTTAGACAGAAGAAATCCATGGCTAAGAAAAGCTAAGTATCCTAAAATAGCAGGAATTGGAGTAGGATCATGTGAATCACTCCCATTAACTGCTGAGATGCCTCCAGACAGAGCAAGAAGAGCCACAGCTAAAATCAGGATGTGGCGTGAAAGCGTCCATGTTGGATCTCTGTAAGATTCCTAAAGTTAAATACCTGGGAATCCCATTTTTCTTCTAATGATGGGAGGTGGGAGCATGGGAAAGACGGAGGAATCTCCATTCTATGTGAAATGCAACGGAATGAGGGCTTGGCTCACAGCTGATTTTCTGAGTAATGAGTTTGGTGACCTCACCAGCTTCTAGGCATTGGGCCAGATCTTGTCTCGTGATGCACATTTGTACAATTCCTCGAGGATGCAGACTTGGGTTTTCCACTTGAAGTGAGTTTGTGAATTTACAAGTGGGCAGGCTTCAGTCTATTTTCCGTGATAATCAACCATCATATTTGTTTCCTTCAAAACATAACTGCAGTTAAAACATCCTAGTTTCTTTGAGATAAAGGCAAATTTTATTAATTGCTTTTCTTCATCTGACTGTTTGGGCTTTACAGCTCACTTCCTCCAGTGATCCAGCCATTAAGGAGTGTTCATTCATGCTAACAGCTTCCATTTAAACTGCTTGTGACTAATATTAGAGGGAATGGATGATTAAAGGGGCAACCCATGCAAATATTTGAAAATAAATAGAAACGTTTTTATTCCGAGGCTTTTATTTGCCTTGAGGGAAGGCAAAGCTGGGCATGACATAATTTTCAAATTATGTTTCATGGCTTTTTCATCACTTCAAATATGAGTCTCTTTTGTTTAACAGAGATGTCGTGGCCTGGGAAAAATGACACGTCAGAATGGTTTCTTCTCTTACGATCTTGGCGCTTCACAATTAGTAATAATTCTGCTATGGAGATTTTGACTCTGACCTCCCCCAGTTGGTAATTTACCATAGACAACTTTCCCTCCTAATAATCTGTAGGGCCTACCCCCTAGCTCACACCTGTTGGAAAGCCCTGGCTCTTGTGCGAGAGCCCCCCAGTGCATTTCAAAGAAAGGCTCAGCTTGCCAGCTCTTGTCAAAAGTTATCACAGACCGCGATTCCATTTAAGGCCCGGGCGCAGCATCAGAGGCCAGAACAACTCTACGTCTATACTGCAAATCCCTGCCCAGCGAATTCATGCTGCAACCAGCGCACAGCAGCGGGCCGGCGCCTGTTTTGCACGGTGGTGAGGCGGCGGGTCTATTTTTAGGCAGCTGATGGTAGATTTGCCTTCCACAGATCTGCTTTCCCCCCTCTGATTACAAAAAGAGGGCCTGCGTCTGTGCAAATGAAAATCAATGGGTGAGCCAAGGAGTGCCAGCGCGCTCTGAAGCCCTCTTTGTTCCTCAAAGGCTCCAAGCCTCTGTGCGGCGATGCCCCGCCTTGCCTCAGAAGCTGCCTTGCCTCAGAGGCTATTTGGATGCAGAGGTGTTTTGACCAAGGGCATTTGGTCTTGTTTTGTTTTGTTTTGTTTCATGTTCCAGGCAGGACATGAAATAGGAAAAAAGGAATGGAAATCGCCATTTCCACCCTCCCCACAACTTCCCTGCCATGACAACTCGCCGGCCTCGCGTGTACCTCCAGAGCCCTCTAGGACAAGCCTGGGGGCTGTGTGGGTGGCAGCAGCAGTAAGGAGAAAGAAGCGGGAAGAGAGGCACCTGCTTGTCCTCAAGTAGAAGCAAACGAGTGGCCTCAGTATCCTTTTCATTCTCCTCCTGAGCCACTGCCAGCTTGAGTGAACTTTCCTAGGACTAGTACTAGTGTCTGTGGGGAAGGGACTGCTGTAATAAAGTGCCACAGATGAGGGCTAAACAGCAGAAATGGATCTCTCACAGTTCTGCAGGCTGCAAGTCTGAGATGAAGTATCATCTGGGCTTGTTCCTTCTGAGGACTGGGAGAAAAAATCTGTCCCAGGCTTCGCCCCTGGCTTCTGGTGGTTTGCCTTCAGTCTTCAGCGTTCCTTGGCTTGCAGAAGCATCACCCCACTATCTGCCTTCATCTCCACTTGGAGGTCTCTGTGTGTGGATGTGTCTGTGTCCAAATTTCCTCTTTTTAAAAGGACACCGGTCATGTTGGATTAGGCCTGTCTTAATGACCTCATTCTAACTTGATAACCTCTATAAAGGTCATCAGAATGTGACCTTTTCCAAACAAAGTCACATTTGGAGGTTCTGGGGGTTAGGACTTCAGCATATCTGTTTTGAGAGGACACAATTCAACCCATAACAGAACCCATGTTGAATTTCTTTTATAAATTCTATCATCTGTGCAAGTGCAACCTCTAGCACATTAGTCATGATGCTCTTCCCCAATTCGGGGCTGCTGCTGTTCTTCATGGGGTGGGATGATGGGTGCTATTGGCATTCTTTGAACCTGGCATGCCAGAGAAGAGTGAGAAGTTTTCCTTGCCTCTGGCTTTATCTTTTCCACGCTTCTCTCTGAAGAGAAAAGACAATTCTGAGGCTACTAACTTGGCATTTGTGTCGAGGGTCAAGGCCCATAAGGGAAGGTAGGTTTATTCAGCCAGTGCTTGCTGTAAAGACCCACAGTAGCTGGCTGGCCCTGAAGGCAGAGCCCTCTGCTCCTACATAGGCAAAAGCAAATTGTACTGGCAGCTTCCCCTTCTCCCCAGATCTGCCACTCACACCTATGCACCCTCCTTCCACCTGCACACCAGAAAGGGTGGGGGAGTCGGCACTGTTGTGGGTGTCCCAGATCAGAACTCACTTCCTGAGTCTCAGGTTTGCAGGTGGTATTGTTTCTTACCTGCTGGACTCTGCATCTGGCCAGCCTGCCCACTGGACCAGCTCTCCAGGCTACGTAGATCAATAGGGACTACCTGATTCTTTATGTACATTTTTTTCTCAGGAATTTGATTCCTTAATTATCATAGTTACAACCAGATCCTACCTGGCAAGCAGCCTCTGGGGCTTGATCCCACCTCTACTGAGCATTTCAGTGTCCCCTCCTAGAACCTTTCTGTTTACCAGAGAGCCAACGGGGCAGTGGATGTGGAAAGAAATGGTTGTCTCGCCTTCTTCACAGGCTCATTGGCTGGAACAAAGGCTTGCTGTGACCTGTGTGATGTTTCACAAACATTAGGTGCTACTATAATCAGATAGACCTGATGACATAATATGCAATATAAACAGAACACTATATATTCTTGTCAACGTGTGGTTCTCAGGCTAGCCCAGTGCATTAGTCAGGGTTCTTCAGAGAAATGGAACCAACAGGATGTATATGTAGTAGATGGATATAAGGGGCGATTTATTATAGTAATTGGCTCATGAGATTATGGAGACTGAGAAGTCCTATAATCTGCTGTCTGTAAACTGTAGAACCAGGAAAACTGGTGGTGTAATTCCATCTGAATCCGAAGGCCTGCGAACTGGGCTAGCCAATGGTGTAACTGCCTGTTGAGTCTGCAGGCCCAAGAACTATAATAGGAGCTCTGATGTTTGAGGGCACGAGGAGATGGATGTCCAGGCTGAAGGAGAGAGTATTTGTCCTTCCTCCACCTTTCCATTCTGTGTGAGCCCTCCGTGGATTGGAGGATGCTGCCCACAGCCATCATCACTTAGTGAGTGATCTTTACTCAGTCTATTGATTCAAGTGCTAATTTCTTCTGGAAGCATCATCACAAACAACCCAGAAATAATGTTTTACCAGCTCTCTGGACATCCCTTAGCCCAGTCAA